>NC_000023.11:91856481-92159511 GCF_000001405.40 Homo sapiens
AGGGTACATGTGCAGGATGTGCAGTTCATTACATAGGTAAATGTGTGCCGTGGTGATTTGCTGCACCTATCAACCCATCATGTAGGTATTAAACACAGCATGCATTAGCTAGTTAGCTGATGCTCTCCTTCCCTAACTGGCCTCAGTGTGTGGTGTTCCCCTCCCTGTGTCCATGCGTTCTCGTTGTTCAGATCCCACTTATAAGTTAGAACATGTGGTGTTTGATTTTCTGTTCCTGTGTTAGTTTGCGGAGGATAATGGCTTCCATCTCCACCCATGTTACTGCAAAGGACATGATCTCATTTCTTTTTGTGGCTGCATAGTATTCCATTGTGTATATGTACCAAATTTTCTTTATCCAGTCTATCATTGATTGGCATTTGCGTTGATTCCACATCTTTGCTATTGTGAATAGTGCTGCAATGAACATACATGTGCATGTATCTGTATCGTGCAATAATGTATATTCCCTTGGGTATATACCCAGTAATGGGATTGCTGGGTCAAATGGTATTTCTGGTCCTAGGTTATATTAGTCTGTTCTCATGCTGCTAATAAAGACATACCCAAGACTGGGTAATTTATAAAGAAAAATAGGGTTAATTGACTCACACAGTTCCACGTGGCTGGAGAGGCCTCACAATCATGGCACAAGGCAAAGGAGGAGAAAGGCAGGTCTTACATGGAGGCTGGCAAGAGAGAGCGTGTGCAGGGGAGCTCCTTTTTATGAAACCATCAGATCTCATGAGACTTATTCACTATCACAAGAACAGCACAGGAAAGAAATGCTTCCATGATTCAATTACCTCACACCAGGTTCCTCCCATGACACATGGGAATTATGGGAGCTGCAATTTGAAATTTGGGTGGGGACACAGCGAAACCATATTTTTCTGCCCCTGGCCCCTCCCAGAACTCATGTCATCACATTTTAAAGCCAATCATAGCTTCCCAACTGTCCTCCAAAGTCTTAACTTATTTCAACATTAACTCAAAAGCCCAAGTCCAAAGTCTCAGGTGAGATAAGGCAAGCCCCTTCCACCTATGAGCCTATAAAATCAATAGCAAGTTACTTTCTGGATACAATGGGTGTACAGGCATTGGGTAAATACACCCATTCCAGATGGGAGAAATTGGCCAAAATAAAGGGGCTACAGGCCCCATAAAAGTCTGAAATCCAATAGGGCAGTCACATCTTAAAGTTCAAAAATGATCTCCTTTGACACCATGTCTCATATCCAGGTCATGCTGATGCAAGAGGTAGGTTCCCATGGTCTTGGGCAGCTCCACCCCTGTGGCTTTGCAGGGTACAGCCCCTCTCCTGGCTGATTTCATAGGCTGGCATTGAGTGTCTGTGGCTTTTCCAGGCACATGGTGTAAGTTGTCAATGGATCTACCATTCTGGGGTCTAGATGACAGTGGCCCTCTTCTCACAGTTCCACTAGATAGTGCACCAGTGGGGATTCTTTGTGGAGGCTCCCACCCCACATTTCCCTTCTGCCATGCCCTTGCAGAGGTTCTCCATGAGTGCTCTGCCCCTGTAGCACACTTCTGCCTGGACATCCAGTTGTTTCCCTACATCCTCTGAAATCTTGGTGGAGGTTCCCAAACCTCAGTTCTTGACTTCTGTTCACCCTCATGCCCAACACCACGTATAAGCCACCAAGGCTTGGGGCTTCCACCCTCTGAAGCAACAGCCTGAGCTCTACATCGGACACTTTCAGCCATGGCTGGGATGTAGGTCATCAAGTCCCCAAACTGCACAAAGCAGCAAGGCCCTGGTCCCAGCTCATGAAACAATTATTTTTTTCTCCTAGGCCTCCCAGCTTGTGATGGATGGGAGAGGCTGCCATGAAATCTGCTGACATGTCCTGGAGTCATTTTCCCATTGTCTTCTCGATTGATATTTGGCTCCTTGTTTCCTATGCAAACTTTTGCAGTCAGCTTGAATTTCTCCTCAGAAAATGGCTTTCTCTTTTCAATCACATTGTCAGACTGCAATTTTTCCAAACTTTCATGCTCTGCCTTCCTTTTAAACATAAATTCCATAAGTTCAAAACCATATTGTAGTGAATACATAACACTGAATGCTTTTGACAATACCGAAGTCATTTCTTGAATGCTTTGCTGCTTAGAAATTTCTTCTGCCGGATACCCTAAATCATCTCTCTCAAATTCAAAGTTCCACAAATCTCTAGGGCAGGGACAAAATGCCACCAGTCTCTTCACTAAAACATAGCAAGAGTCACCTTTGCTCCAGTTCCCAACAAGTTCCTCATCTCCATCTGAGACCACCTCAGCCTGGACTTTATTGTCCATTTCACTATCAACATTTTGGTCAAAGTCATTCAACAAGTCTCTAGGAAGTTCCAAACTTTCCCACATCTTCTTGTTTATTTAGGATCCCTCTAAACTGTTCCAGTCTCTGCCTGTTACTCAGTTGCAAAGTCATTTCCAAATTTTGGGGTATCTTTACAGCAGCACCCCACTCTACCAGTACCAGTTTACTGTATCAGTCCATTCTCACATGGCTAGTACAGACATACCCGAGACTGGGTAATTTATAAAGAAAAAGAGGTTTAATGAATCCACAGTTTACAACAACAGTGTAAAAGCTTTTCTATTTCTCCACAGCCTGGCCGGAATCTGTATTTTGTGGACATTTTAATAATTGTCATTCTGACTGTCCTGAGATAGTATCTCATTGTGATTTTGGTTTACATTTCTCTAGTGATCAGTGATGTTGAGCTTTTTTTCCATATGTTTTCTGGTCGCATGTATATCTTCTTTTGAGAATTGTCTGTTCATGTCCTTTGCCCACTTTTTAATGTTTTTTTTTCTTGTAAATTTGTTTAAGTTCCTTATAGATTCTGTATATGAGACCTTTATCATAGGGATAGATTGCAAAAATTTTCTCACATTCTGTAGGTTGTTTGTTCACTCTGATGATTGTTTCTTTTGTTGTGCAGAAGCTCTTTAATTAGATCCCATTTGTCAATTTTTCCTTTTGTTGCAGTTGCATTTGACATTTTCATCATGATGCCTTTGCCCTTGCCTATGTCCTGAATGGTATTGCCTAGATTTTCTTCTAGGGTTTTTATAGTTTTGGGCTTTACATTTAATTCATTCATCTATCTTGAGTTAATTTTGGTAAAAGGTGTAAGGAAGGGGTCCAATTTCAATTTTCTGCATATGGCTAGCCAGTTCTCCCAGCACCATTTATTAAAAAAGGAACCCTTTCCCCATTGCTTGTTTTTTTTTTTTCAGGTTTGTCAAAGATCAGATGGTTGTAGGTGTGCAGTCTTATTTCTGAGTTCTCTATTCTGTTGCATTTGTCTATGTTTCTGTTTTTGTAGCAGTACCATGCTATTTTGGTTACTGTAGCCTTGTAGTATAGTTTGATGTCAGGTAGTGTGATGCCTCCAGCTTTGTTGTTTTCGCTTGGAATTGTCTTAAGTATATAGTCTCTTTTTTGATTCTATATGAATTTTAAAATAGTTTTTTTTTCTAATTATGTGAAGAATGCCAATGGTAGTTTAATGGGAATACCATCTATAAATTACTTTGGGCAGTGTGGACATTTTGACAATATTGACTCTTCCTATCCATGAGCATGGTAAGGTATATTTTTCCATTTGTTTGTGTCCTCTTTGATTTCCTTGAGCAGTCGTTTGTAGTTCTTCTTGAAGAGGTCTTTCATTTCCCTTGTTAGCTGAATTCCTAGGTATTTGATTCTCTTTGTAGCAATTTTGAATTGGAGTTCATTCATGATTTGGCTCTCTGCTTATCTGTTGTTGGTGTTTAGGGATGCTTGTGATTTTTCCACACTGATTTTGTATCCTGAGACTTTGCTAAAGTTGCTTATCAGCTTAAGAAGCTTTTGGGCTGAGACAATGGGGTTTTCTAGATTTAGGATCATCTCATCTGCAAAGACAATTTGACTTCCTCTATTTCTATTTGAGTATATTTTATTTCTTTCTCTTGCCTGATTGTCCTGGCCAGAACTTCCAATACTATGTTGAATAGGAGTGGTGAGAGAGGGCATCCTTGTCTTGTGCCGGTTTTCAGGGGAGATGCTTCCAGCTTTTGCCCATTCAATATGATATTGGCTATGGGTTTGTCATAAATGGCTCTTATTATTTTGAGATATGTTTCTTCGATAGCTAGTTCATTGAGAGTTTTTAACATGAAGTGTTGTTGAATTTTATTGAAGGCCTTTTCTGTGTCTATTTAGATAAGCATGAGGTTTCTGTCTTTAGTTCTGCTTATGTGATGAATTATGTTTATTTATTTGTGTATGTTGAACCAGCCGTGCATCTTGAGGATAAAGCTGACTTGATCGTGGTGGATAAGCTTTTTGATTTGCTGCTGGATTCAGTTTGCCAGTATTTTATTCGGGATTTTTGTATTGATGTTCATTAAAGATATTGGCCTGAAGTTTCATTATTTATTTTTATTTTTTTGGTTGCATCTCTGCGAGGTTTTGGTATAAGAATGATGCTGGCCTCATAAAATGAATTAGGGAGGAGTCCCTCCTTTTCAGTTGTTTGGAACAATTTCAGAAGAAATGGTATCAGCTCCTCTTTGTACCTCTGGTAGAATTCAGCTGTAAATCCATCTGGTCCTGGGCTTTGTTTTTTTGGTAAGCTATTTATTACTCCTTCAATTTCATAACTCATTATTGGTCTCTTCGGGGATTCTATTTCTTCCTGGTTCAGTTTTGGGAGGGTGTATATTTCCAGGAATTTATCGATTTCTTCTAGATTTTCTAGTTTATTTGCATAGAGGTGTTTATAGTATTCTCTGATGGTTGTTTGTGTTTCTGTGGGTAGGTGGTGATATCCCCTTTATCATTTCAGATTGTGTCTGCCCCAGTGAGATCAGAGTTCTGTCCATAAACCCCTGACTGGAGTTGCTGATATTCCTGTAGGGAGGCCTTGCCCAGTGAACAGGGATAGATCCAGGTCCCACCCAAAGAAGCAATCTGGCCACAGTCTGTCACAGCCACTGTGCTGCACTGTGGAGAATTCCTCCCAGTCGAAACCTTCCAGTCTGTCAGGCCCTGGCAGCAGAAAATGGCTGTTTGGAGCCACAGGGATGGCTGCCGCACCTCCCCCCAGGAACTTGGTCATCTTAGTCAGTCTCCAGCCTGCTACCTACCGCTGGGTCCAACCCAAACGGCTGCTGAGATTCTGCACAATTCTGTGCTTGGGACCCAAAGTCCTGGTGGCATAGGCTCACAAAGGAATCTCCTAATCCCTGAGTTGTGCAGATCGGTTGAAAAAGCATGATTTCCTGAGCAGAGTAGCACAATAACCTCCTCCCTTGGCTGAGGGTAGGAACTTCCCTTGCCCTGTGCAACTAGCAGATGGGCCATCACTCCACCGTGCTTTTCTCTCTGCATGGGTTGCATCAACTGCCTAGTCAGTCCCAATGTGAGAACCTGGATACCTTAGTTGATGGTGCAGGATGCACTAGCTTTTTTTGTTCTTCTTGGTGAGAGCTGCCAACCACACCTGCATCTAATCAGCTTTCTTGGCACCACCGCCACTCATCTTGGCCCCGCCAACACCCAGTTTTCTTTTTTTGATGTGTCTTAGTCTGATTTTTGTATCTGGGTAATGTTGGTCTCATAGAATGAGTCTGGAAATATTCTCTCCTCTATTTTTTGCAATAGTTTCAGTAGAATTGGTATTAGTTCTTGTTTGAATGTTTGGTAGTATTCAGCAGTAAAGCTATCGGGTCCCAGGCTTTTCTTTACTGAGAGGCTTTTTTATTACAGCTTTGATCTCACTACTAGTTATTGGCCTGTTCAGGATTTGAATTTCTTCCTGGTGAAATCTTGGTTGGTTCTATGTGTCTAGGAATTTCTCTATTTTCTTCTAGGTTTTCCAATTTATTGGCATATAGTTGCTGATAGTAGCCACTAATGAGCCTTTGCATTTCTGCAGTGTCAGTTGTAAAGTCTCATTTTTTCATTTCTGATTTTATTTATTTATATCCTCTCTCTTTTTTCTTAGTTCATCTGGCTAACAGTTTGTCAATTTTGTTTAACTATTTTAAAAAGCCGCTTTTTGTTTCTTCAACAATCTTTTTTCATTTTCTTCATTTCAATTTCATTTTATTCTACTCTAATCTTTATTATTTATTTCCTTCTACTAATTTTGGGTTTGGCTTGTTCTTGCTTTTCTACTTATTAAGATGAATTGTTAGATTCTTTATTTGAAGGTTTTCCTCTTTTTTGATGTAGGCACTAATAGCTATAAACTTCCCTCTTGGTACTGCTTTTGCTCTACCCCATAGGTTTTGGTATGCTGTGTTTTCTTTATTATTTGTTTCAAGAAACTTTTCAATTTACCTCTTAATTTCTTTATTGACCCACTGATCATTAAGCAGCATATTATTTAATTTCCGTGTATTTGTATAGTTTCCAAAATTCCTCTCTTTATTGATTTCTAGGTTTATTCTATTGTGCTTAGAGATGAGGCTTGATATTATTTCAATTTTTTGAATGTTTTAAGACTTGCTTTGTGACTTAACATATGGTCTATTCTTGACAATGATCCATGTGCTGAGGAAAAGAATGTGTATTCTGCAGCTGTTGGATGTAATGTTCTGTAAATATCTATTAGATGCATGTGGTGTATAGTACAGATTAAGTCTGATGTTTCTTTGTTGATTTTCTGTTGGGAAGATCTGTCCAGTGCTAAAAGTGGGGCATTGAAGTCTCTAGCTATTATTGTACTTGGGACAATCTCTTTTTAGCTCTAATAATATTTTCTTTATATATCCAGGAGCTCCAGTGTTGGGTGCATATATATTTAAAATTGTTGTATCCTCTGACTGAATTGAAACCTTTATCATTATATACTGACTTTCTCTCTTCTTAATTGCTTTTGTCTTGAAATTTACTCTGTTTGATATAAGTATAGCTACACCTGCTCTTTTTTGTTTTCCATTGGCATGGAATATCTTTTTCTCTTTTTCATTTTCAGTCTATGTGTGTCTTCATAAGTGAAATGTGTTTCTCATAAGCAACAGATCACTGGTTCTCATTTTTTCATCCATTTAGCCATTCTTTGTCTTTTAATTGAAGATGTTATTTCATTTACATTGAATAATATTGATAAGTAAGGACTTACTCCTGCCATTTTATTATTTGTTTCCTGGTTGTTTTGTGGTCTTCTCTTCCTTCTTTCTGTCCTTCCTGTCTTCCTCTAGTGAAGGAGATTTTCTCTGGTGAAATGTTTTAGTCTCTTGCTTGTCATTTTTTGTGTTTTCATTTTATGTTTTTTGGTTTGAGGTTATTTTGAGGCTTGCAAATACCATCTTATAATGCAGTATTTTAAGCTGATAATAGCTTAACATTGTTTGCATAAACTGACAATCAAAAAGAAAACTAATAAAAATTCTACACCTTAACTTGATCCCCAAGCTTTTTAACTTTTTGTTGCCGTACTGACTATGTCTTGAAAAGTGGTTGTAGTTATTACTTTTGATTGGTTCATTGTTTATTCTTTCTACTTAGGATAAGAGTAGTTTACACATTACAGTTACAGTGTTATAATATTCTATGTTTTTCTGTGTACTTGCTGTTACCAGTGACTTTTGTACCTCCAGGTGATTACTTATTGCTCGTTAATGTCTTTTTCTTTGTGTTTGAAGTACTCCCTTTAGCATTTCTTGTAGGGCAGATCTCGTGTTGATGAAATCTCTCAGCTTTTGTCTGGGGAAATATTTATTTCTCCTTCATGTTTGAAGGATATTTTCACCAGATATACTATTTTAAGGTAAAAGTTTATTTTCCTTCAGCACTCTAAATATGTCATGCCACTCTCTTCTGATCTGTAAGATTTACACTGAGAAGCCTGCTTCCAGACGTATTGGAGCTCCATTGTGTGTGTGTGTGTGTGTGTGTGTGTTTGTGTATTTTCCCTCTCTTGCTGTCTTTAGGATCCTTTCTATATCATTGATCTTTAGGAGTTTAATTATTAATTACCTGAAGTAGTCTTTGCATTAAATCTTCTTGGTGTAAAACTTCCTTTTACTTTGATATTGATATATTTTTCTAGGTTTGGAAAGTTCTCTGTTATTATTCTTTTGAAAAACTTTCTACCCCTATCTCTTTCTCTACCTCCTCTTTAAGGCCAGTCACTCTTAGATTTGCCCTTTTGAGGCTACTAATATTTCTTAGATCCTGTGGGCATGCTTCGTTGTTTTTTATTCTTTGTTCTTTTGTCTCCTCTGTGTATTTTCAAATACCCTGTCTTCAAGCTCACTAACTTTTTCTTTTGCTAGATTCATTCTGCCATTAAAAGACTCTGACACATTCTTCAGTATATCTATTGCATTATTTAACTTCAGAATTTCTGCTTCATTATTTTTAGTTATTTCAATCTCTTTGTTAAATTTCTCTGATAGAATTTTGAATTCCTTCTCCACATTATCTTGAATTTCTTTGAGTTTCTTCAACACAGCTATTTTGAACTCTGTTTGAAAGGTTGCATATCTCTGTTTATCTAGGCTTTGTCCTGGGTGACTTATTTAGTTCATTTGGTGCGATCACGTTTTCCTGGATGGTGTTAGTGCTAATAGATGTTCTTCAGTGTTTAGGCATTGAAGAGTTAGGTATTTATTGTACTCTTCACTGTCTGGAATTATTTATACCCATCCTTTTTGGGAATGCTTTCCAGGTATTTGAAAGGGCTTTGGTATTGTGATCTAAGCTGTATGTGCTTTAGGGTACACTCCAAGCCCACTAACACTGTGGTTCTTGCAAACTCACAGAGGCACCACCTCAATGGTTTGGACAAGATCCAAGGGAATTCTCTGTATTACCAGGCAGAGACTGTTGTTCTGTTCCCTTATTTTTCTCAAGCAGAGTCCCTCTCTGTTCTGAGCCACCTAAGGTTGGGGATATGGTAACACAAGCACCACTGTGGCTTTCACCACTATGACTGCACCTGGTCAGACCTAAAGCCAGCTCAGCACTGGGTCTCACCCAAGTTCAAGCTCAGCACTGGGTCTCACCCTTGTTCAAGGACCTGTGGCTCTACAGTCAGCCAGTGGCAAAGCCAGCCAGGTCTATGTCTTTCATTTCAGGGTAACAAGGTCTCTCTGGGACCAGGTGGGTACAGAGGTGCCATCTGGAAGTGAGGGACTACAGTCAAAAACCTTAGAAGTCTCCCTGCTGTTCTATTGTACCGCGACTGAGTTGGCACTCAAACCACAACATGCAATCCTTCCCTTGCTTCCCTGTACTTTCCAAAGGCAGAGAAGCCTCATCCTGTAGCCACTGCCACCCCAGGCCACAAGGAGTCCTGCCAAACTACTGCTGATATTCCCTTAAGACCCAAAGGCTCTTAAGTCAGCTTGTGGTGATTGCTGCCTGGCATGGGACTCACCCTTCAGGGTAATGGGCTCCCCTCTGTTCCAGCACAGGTCCAGAAATGCTACCCAAGGGTCGTGTCCTGGAATTGAGGACCCCAAAAGCCCACTTGGTGCTCTGCTCCCCTGTTGCCATGCTGGTACCTGAAGCCAGCTGTCTAGAAATGTCATCTGGGAGCTAGGGCCTGGAATGGGGGCCTCATGACTCTATCCAGTGCCTTATCCTGCTGTGGCTGAGCTGGTATCCGGGATGTAAAAGAGAGACCTCCTCACTCTTACCTCTCCTTTCCCTAAGTAGAAGAAAGGTGTCTCTTTTGGAGCCATGAACTGTGCAGCCTTGGGTTAGGGGACAGGGGATGCTTCCCCAGCTGATGTCTCAGTATGCTGCATGCCACCCTAGTCCACTGTCCTATGCCCAGTTCTGCCTTAGGCCTTGCCTAAGAGTTGTAGTCCTTATGGTCTAGGCTGCCTTTTAAGTTTACTTAGAGACCTAGAGCACTTTGGCCCTTGGTGGCAAGGTTTGTGAGAATTCAAATTTGGACCACTGGGATCAGTGGTTCCCCACCAGATAGGGCTGGTTTAAATGCTCCCTCTGTGGGCGATTGTCAGCTGCGTTTGGTCTGGTATTTCTTTCTGCTCTAACAGAACAGCACTGAGTTCAATGGCTCACAATTGCTGTATTCTTCCTCCCCCAGTGCCCAGAGAAGCTCTCTGTACCATGAGGCCACTGCAGCAGTTGGGGGAGGAGAAGTGGCTTCGGTGATTCAACTTTTTTTTTTTCTTTTAATCTCTTCAGTGCCTCTTTTGGGGTATGAGGTTCAAACTAAGTACTATGAGTGCTCACCTGATTTTTTCATTCCTATGAAGGTGTTTTTTCTTTGTAGATAGATGTTAAATTTGTGTCCTTGTGGGGAGGATGATCAATGGAAGCTTCTATTCTGCCATCTTGCTCTGTCTTTCATTATAGTATTTTTTTTCTTTTAGTATTGTGGCATATGAAAAAATATTTCTGACCAACCACCCATAATCATTTTTATCTAAACTGCTATCAGTCATTAAAAATGTCTGTGTTTCATTGAGCAAAACTGGGACCAGTGTCTTTAAGCTTGTCACTTGCTGGGTCTGTAAAGAATTGGTTAGTTGGATATTAATGGAAATTTTAGTTATTCGAATGACTTACATAGTTGCTGAATATTGTGCCATAAAATACTGGTTCTGACTTTCAATACATCATTTTAATTAATTTTGGTGTAATTTCATACATGTTATTAATCTCTGGATGGAGGTTAGAGATTATATTGTATTGATGCCCTGATTAAAGTGTGTTATATTCACTGCACTTGAAGAAAAAAATCACTAGTAGTACAAAAATATCATTGTTTCTCTTAATTCAACTTGATCCCAAACATAACTTAAATCACTCCTAGCTTCGTTGCTATGGGGCATAGTATCTTAACTAGAAATATTAAATACTTCTAGTAAATTTGAGTAGGTAAAGACTCCCTAAATATATAAACAGTAGTTATGCTTACAGAAAATTGGTGGCATTTTTCCTATCAATGAGTTGTTTTAAGATGAGTCAGAGCTAATGAAGAGTCAGAAATCATCTCAGAAGACATGGTACTTTCTTCTAAAACAAAAACAGAAACTATTAGGACAAATGGCAATGAATTCTGCCTCCCCCTAAATTAAAGCAGGAAAGTATGAGTCAGAGGTAAGGCCCTTTTAACATCTCCAGATATATCCCATGGTGTCAGGCCAACTGGATAGACCTTATAAATGGACTTACCTGAAGCTTTCTTTAGCCCCTCTGTGCATGGCCTCGTATTTTCTGCCCTAAACTTTTCTCTTTTTACTTCAGTTATCACTTATCCCGGATACATATCACGACTATCCCATACTCCCCATTCCTTGACTAGTCTTACCTCCAACAAAGAAGAATATGCACTTTAGTTAAAATCCAGATTTATAAAAAAAGACACGTCTATGATTCCCAGTCCTTTGCCTCCACTGGGAAAAAATTTTTTGATCTGTTTGAAATGTTCAAGGGAAAAAAGACCCAAGTTTGCTGCCTCTCCCATGCCATCCTTCAGCTTCACAGCCCTGCCTGTGGAGGTTTGATTCTACTTGGGCTACATCCTACTTCTCAAAAACCAGGTCACTGAGAAATCTGGGACTTTCATTCATATATGTGTCCAATGTTTTAGTGACCAAAAATAACAACAACAAAAAATCTACCACAAGATTCTGTCATTCACCCACTATAGCATTAATGACTTCCAATTATTCACCAAGGACTTGATTAGAATGAGCCATCTCTGACTAGTTACTGCCAATTTGAAAGTATTTACATTAAAGAGCAAAAGATACGAACTATTCTTACAATGCTTACCCATTTCCAAAAGAATGTGATCCACAGACAAATTTGTCATTTACCAAACTTCTCTCACCAAAATTTGCCACCATCTTTATTATGACGTCCATTTAATCAATAGTCAGAGGCCATGGGACACAGAAGAAATGGCCTTCTCATGTGATAGAGAAACTGAAATCTTCTTTTGGAGAAAAGGAGATTTCTGGACTTTGATGATAGTAGATCCAAAAGAAACTGGTTGAGGTCTTTTATCAATTTAGAAGGTAGAACCAATCAGAGTTAGAAGCACTCAAGAAGCCCTGAGACTTAAAAGATAAAACACCTTCATATGATCTTAAATTTTTAGCACTATTTTCCCTTCTTGAAGTTGTATTATTACTGACTTCCTTTACCTGAGGTTTTCTCTGACATACAATGAACCAGAAGCAACTTTAGTTTTATTTTCCTGATATTAATAAGCAATCAGTTAGGTTTACAGCAGTGTCTATTAGTGAAAGATCATATTTTCATTTTTGATTACTGATTTTTTTAAAGTTTAACCTAATCACAAGTTTTCATTAAAATTTACCATTAGATCATTACCCTGCTTCTTTAAAACAATAGTTCAGATAAAGTACACCTGCAACATAAAAAGCTTTTGGACTTTTCTTAGAATGTTCTTAAAGGACCTTTTTACAAGAAATTTTTAAGAAAATCTTCTAAGAAATGTAAAATACTTTATACCAGCTATTGAAGAATAGTAACGGTGAATTTTGTTTTGAGAACCTGACTCAATTTATACATAGAAATAATAGCACTCAATATTTATTCATATTCTTAAATGAGCAAGTTAAAATTGTATTTAATTATATACTCTTAAAATTTTAGATGGTATTTCTTTGGTTTCTTTTTTCAATAAACATTACTTTTAGGGGTGGTAGTTTTGAAGGGAGCAGGGAAGAAATCTTTTTATCAGTAGCTCAATATTCTGGGATCAGAAAACACAATAGTTTTTGTTTTGTTTTTGCTCTTTTTGGGCAGTAATTACCTGATAAGTTTCTCATACTGAGAGCTCTCCAGAATACAGAGTTCTTGCCAGCATCAAAAGGACTTCCTTTTGAGAAGTAACCATATTTCAGTGAAAAAATCATTGAACTAAAAACTAAGAGACTTGGCTTTCAAATCGGGTTCTGCAATAAACCAGCTGTGTGATCACGGGCAAGTCACCTAACCTTACTGTGTCTTAGTGTCCTTTTCATAAGAGGAGAAGTAAGGCTAGATGATATCTGAAGTCTGTTCTAGTACTAGTATTCAGTGGTTGAATATACTATATTTTTGTTATGAATGCAGCTCATCTAACTTAAGCACAAGAGAGCAGCTGCTAAAAAGAGCTGATTAGCAACAATTAGGAGTGGCATTTCATTTGTATTGCATATCTTCCCAATTAAAAGCATTTAGTGATTAAAATTACATGCTTGAAATACAGTCTTTAAAAGGAAATATTTTCAAATAAATGAAATCTCTGGGTCAAGGCCAATTTGTATTTTAAACATTTGCATAATATTAAAGAGTTTTGCTGTAGTATAAGGCATGCTTAGCCATTGCAGTTTTTAGAATCTGAAGCGAGACAGAGATAGAGTCAAAGAGCGAGATAGAGAATGCAAGTGCACGTGTGAGCACAAGCAAATGAAACAAGTAAAAAAGAGAATTCTGAATTATTATGCATGCTAGTAAAAAATGATTGGTTCCTCCTAGGATGTTTACAGAATTAATCAGATTATGTCTTGTGTTTCATTTCTATACTTCACATTAAGTCATATGTTTAAGATTTTCCTTTATTTCTGAAAGCCAAAAGCTGACTTTTCAAAATCAAGGGAAGAATAGACTAAAAAAAATGGACCTGAAAAATAGATGTGCTTCACTGTTCTCGTGGATATAACAACCCTGATGTCTTCAATTAAATCTCCTTTGTTCCAGCTTAAAACATTGTGAATTTAAATTAACACTTTAAGACATTTCAATCTGAGTGCACATTCCAAATAACGTAATAAAATCATCTGATTGTTCTCTCAGATGGAGAAACCAGAGTAGTGATAGTGAACACAAGGCCAGAAAAAATGAAATGGTATTTATTATATATTTTCTTATAAAAACAAAGTTGGGGGAAGTACACATTAAAACAGAACTTAGTACAAAAATTCTATCATTTTCAAGAATCTTCCTGAGTGCCTACTCTTTTGTCAAAAGGGAAAAACAAAGACTGTTCTTAATTTTGAAATCTGACACAATAGGGAAAAAAAAATCAATGACAGAAATTCCTATTCTTTGGACTAACATTTAAAAAAAAGAACCACATGCTATGAATAGTACTGTTCTACAAAATAGGTTTTGCTAAGTCCTAGTGGGAAAAAAAATACATGTATAATATCTTAAACCTTGTATGTGGCTTTATCAAAATTAACAATACTATTATTAATATTTTAATGTAAACTTATTTCTTCCTAAGAGACATAGTGTTTTCTTACCCAAAGGGAGATGGTGTTTTCTTACCCAAAGAGAGATGGTGTTTTCTTACCCAAAGAGAGATGGTGTTTTCTTACCCAAAGGGAGATGGTGTTTTCTTACCCAAAGAGAGATGGTGTTTTCTTACACATCACTCTCCTTTCCTTAGTATGACTTTAAAGTAGCGAGGGACTTGGTGACATTAGGGTTATCGGCAGATATGTGACTAACGGCTTGGGACATTTTATTGTAATCCGTTTTTTATTGTATTTCCCTTGACAAGGCTACAAATGAATTCTGAAATAAATGTTCTAGAAGTAGTGCATAGACTCTAAAAGGTACCACAGTATTGAATATATAAGCAACAGTTGCTTTTCCCCCTAATAGTTTTAGACAGCCTATAGCAAACCAAGAATTTTTAGTGGAATGAAAGTGAATTTATGATAATACTTATTATATCTGTATTGAGAATATTCAATGTGTATTAAAGTATTTCCTTAATGTTTTCTAAAACAGCCATGTTATTGTAGTGTTATCCATTTGAATCTATGTTCTTGCATTCCTGTGGCCCAAAGATGTATCAGTAATACTAAGAGAAAAGTGAAAAAAAATTAAATATCAGGTTAGTTATTGATAAATCAAGCAGTGGTGAAAGTCAGAAATAAATTTTGAGTCTTTCCACCAGCATTCCTCGATCTAAAGAGTAAATGGCTTTTAATCAGTTTTAGAACTAGATCTCTTTGGAACTATTTTTAGTACTTACTGGCACTGTATGCATTTTCTGGGCAACTGTACCAGATTTATAGCTCTAAAAGTGCTGTGTTATTTATTGCCTTCCAATAGGCAATGAAGTGGTGTCTTGCACATGCATGTGTCAAAAATGTTAAAGTTTTCTCCAGTTGTCTCGTTAATTCTTTCCCAGGACAATAGACAAAATATATGGCTCTCTATTTGGCAATGAATATCCTTTATCAATTTTTTAAAAGAAAAAAAAAACTTCTCTTGCAAATTTCACATCCAACGTCAACTTTCTCTTTTTTGATTTTACAAATCTCCACAAAGAATTAAAGTCTCAGAAGGGCTTTATCTTGCTTATTTCAGCAGTTTTTGTCTTGGGTTTGCAATCCTAAAGTTTATTTTTGAATTTAGGAAGAAATATCACTCACAAATGAAGGTTATTAGGATGAGGTTATTAGAAAGTCCATGCATTTTTCATGACCTCAACCTGAATTGGCACTTTTGTATACTAGAGATCAATGCCATTTCAGATATCAGAATCCAAAAATCAACATATCATGTGTAAATTATTCTTGCATGCAGTTCTTATATATTATTTTCTTCCCTGATTTTTGTTTTCTTTGTTGATCACACGTATCCATGTTTGACAGATGTAGGGTTTTGCATCTTTTCAATAATGCACTGGCTACATACCACACTTAGTATTTGTCATAATTTATTCTGAAAATCAAGTTTTACAACTAGGTTGTAAAATTTTACTAGCAATTGACACTTTGGCTTTTATTACATTTTTGAACAGAAAAGAAGTAGTTGTTTCAGGAAATAATTTTGAAATTGTTTTCTGGACAGTTTTATTAAAATAAAAGACAAAAAAAAAAACCCAAGTCAACAATTATAGAGTATTCCTGTGCCTATACAGACTGAGAATTAAGAACAACCAAATTCTGCTCTTCTTTTATCTTTTAAAATAAGAGCCACTACTTTAATTCATGCATTTATTTATCTAACAAATGTTTTCTGAATGTGTTCACATATGCCAGGTGCTATATCTTTAGAGATTATACATTTAAACAAAGCTTCATGCCATATTACCCTACACTCACATTATTTAGTATATGAAGGCGTACCTAGAGATATACACATAGAGAGTTTGCCCCTATACACAGAAATAAATAATTTTAAGTGGATTTGGAATTCAGGGTAGTGCAGGTCAATTCTTCCAAACTTTTAACTTTTTTGTATATAAGGATGTGTCGGTGCTGAAGATAGGGAGATGATGAATTAAGGAGCCATACGTTTTATCTTCTTTTTCATTTTTCTCACTGTCCTCCTGTCATGGTCAAACATATGGCAAAAGGCTTCAGTTTTTTAATTGCTCATGTGGATGTGAGCTCAGTTGAACTAACTACATTTGGGGTAGGACTGATGTTGGATTCATGTGTTAGTTATTCTTTATTCCTGAAGGAGATTGAACAGAAAACAGTCTTGGAATCATCATTCAGTAATAATAGTAAGCTCATGTTGGCACTATACTTTGACGTCAACTTAGATATCTCACCAAAATTTTGTTGAAAATTATTTATGTCTTAACCTGTGGGCAACTCCTGTTCAAATCCCGTGGACAATATTAAGTTTAAATATGTTTGCTCAGCAAGTCTTTGTAGAACTCTAAAAATCTGGAAAAATGGGGGTTATGCATGCAATCACCTGGCTAATCATAGATTCTTTTTAAAGAAAAACATGATGTCTTAGGATAGTACAGTTCAATAGAATTTGTGCAATAATGAAAATGTTCTACATCTGCAGTGTCCAACGTAGTAGCTACTGGCCACATGGAGCTGTTGAGAACTTAAAATATGGGTAGTGCAAGTAGGAACTGATGTTTTAAATTAATCTAATTCATTTAATTTAAATCTAAATTTAAATGCTCCTTTGGGGCTAATTACCATCATATTGAACAGAGTAGTTGTGAAAGACAGAATAGCAATGGTGACATTATCCATTAACTAATATGTACATTTCATTATCACCTTGAGAATTAGAAAAATATATTTTTAAGATTATTGCCATTTCACATAAAGTAATTAAAAGACAGTGAGTATGCTGATCTTGGATTTTTCATCTGACACAAGCTTGCCTTAATTTGCTTTGGAAAGCAAAGGCCAACTCAAAATTCAGACAAACACATAAAAGTAAAAACTAAATATATAAACAAGAAATGCACAAACATAAATACATAAATTTTAAAATTAAAACTTACATATTCGTTTTCCCAGATGTATTGTATTCATAAATTGGATAATTGGCTCCGAAACTTAAGAACTTTGGAACATTTTCCTTGTTCTTTTTATATTATATTATCTTTGTTTCTGTTTATGCAACCTCTAATAATAACTTACAATTTCCCCATATAGCTCTTATTAAAAATGTAGTGATTCTCTTAATGTAAATCCGTTAGTGTCAATACCATCATTAAATCCATAGTTATTGATTTTTCTTTCACCTTAACTAGAACTTACCTTTTATCACATTAGTAAAATATGTTTACTCACCACCATGACCTTGGCATCTAGGAGAATGCTCTCACTATATTAGCCACTCAGTATTGGAATGTCAAGGATTAAAAGAATAGTATTAAGTGCCATGGATTTTATGAAGTACAATTTAGAAACTATTTTTTCTACCCATAAATAGACATTTTGGATTTGAACCTTCCTAAAAACCTCTTGGAATATCATTACAAAAATTAAATTATCATTAATCACTAAATTTGTTTAGATCAAATTATAATAGTATGTTATGGTATTTACTTACATTCAATGTTGTCATGAAATTCTATTTTTTCTTAAAATATGCAGTATATCAAATAATAGATTTTGCTTGCTAATTTTCAAATATAAATACGTATAACATGAAAATGTTTTTCTTACTATATAATCAAGGAAAAGCCAGGTTGATTATTGCTCTGAGTAAAATAGGAATAGAATGCTCACGTTTATTGTATGAATTAAAAACAAAATAACTAATATACTTTGGTTAGCTCTTGTGAAATTTTTTTTTAAATAACGTTGGAACAAACTAATGATTTTAATTAATATTTCTGAAATGCCATCTTAAATTTTGTAATAAACATCTAATTCCTCCACAAAGATATATTATGGCACTGCATTTGAATAAAAGTATAAGTGAATCTCAGCACCCCCCCAAAATCTGAAAGTTTGCAGAAATATCTTCAAGTAATTCATAAGAGGAAAAAATGAGATGCATTTGGATATTGTTTAAGACTATATATAGGCAATTATAAGACAGGTAAATTTTTTAAAGATAATGTGATTGAAATACATTTATAAACTGATCATATATTCTAGCAGTCTCTGAAAACCTGGTATTATTTATTAGGTTCTAATTTTTAGGATCTTGTTTTAGACAGTGGTATGACAAAACTATAACCTCAGATCTTATCCTGTTCTTTTATGATACAGCACATAAATGAGAGATCAATAACCAATCCATGCCACTTGTCCAGAACATGTATGTTAAAAATGTAGTAGAGAATTAAAAATTATTTAGATGTACATATGTGTATGTGTGTGTGTGTGTATATATCTGTTCATAAATCACCCATGAATAGGAATCTTAAAGTCCTCCTCCGATCTTTTCTTCATACCCTCCAGTACCTTTTTATCTCATTCATCTCTGTCATAATGCTGCAAGTAACACTGGACAGGAATCTTCCTCTCTCATTTCTCCTCGGTAAGCTGGCAAGATCACTACGTTTGTGTGTAGGGATCATCTTATTGTAGTACAGGGAGGGGATTTTTTTTTTTTTTTTTTTTTTTTGAGACGAGTCTCACTCTGTCGCCCAGGCTGGAGTGCAGTGGCGCCATCTCGGCTCACTGCAAGCTCCGCCTCTGGGGTTCATGCCATTCTCCTGCCTCAGCCTCCTGAGCAGCTGGGACCACAGGCGCCCGCCACCACGCCAGGCTAATTTTTTTTTTTTTGTATTTTTTAAGTAGAGACGGGGTTTCCCCGTGTTAGCCAGGATGGTCTCGATCTCCTGACCTCGTGATCCGCCCGCCTCGGCCTCCCAAAGTGCTGGAATTACAGGCGTGAGCCACCGCTCCCGGCCGAGGGGATTGTTTTTTAAATATTCCCATACTGTGACTTCGTGGGCATGAATTGAAAATAGGTCCTATCCGAAGCTACCTTTTTCAATTTGAGGTCTTGACCTGTGAATTTTAGTTCATTGTGCTTGCATGTTAAAAAAAAAACAGTAAGAAAATAACATTGCATTGTTAATCTCTGAGATAATTTCATTTTAACTGTGTGTTCCTATGGGAAATATTGAAATTCTTTGTATTTTATACAAATTTATATTTTAACCAGTTTGTGTATTTTTTTTCCATCTGCTAAAGGTTTTAGCTGTATTTATTAGATATGATACTTATGATGTTGTCTTGGAGGAATATTTTTATTTTGGTGCTTACTTTAGTACTGAAAAAGCATCTTAGGCAACTGAAATCTACAGTAAAAAATATTTTAATTCATTTGGAATAATCTTGGATAATTCGCTTACAGCTTCATTTATCTTGCAAAAATTTAGTGACAATTCTTTTTAAAATATACTTTTTTCTTTTGAAAACTTAAATAGTTCGAAAACCAAACATTGTGTGTTCTCACTGATATATGGGTGCTAAGTTATGAGGACGCAAAGGCATAAGAATGATACGATGGACATTGGGGACTTCGGGGAAAGAGAAGGAAGGTGGCGAGGGATAAAAAACTACAAATATGGTGGTGTGTATATTGCTCCAGTGATGGGTGCACCAAAATCTCACAAATCACCACTAAAGAATTTACTCATGTAACCAAATACCACCTGAACCCCAATAACTTATGGAAAAATGAAATAAAAAATTAATTAATTTAAAAAAACTGAAATAGTTCACATAATTTAAAAAAACTTAAATAGCTCACATAAATGAGTTACATATATTACCATAAAATGCTACAATCTGAAGCCTCCTGTCCCCAGAACATCTTCTAGTACAGTTCTCTAATTTTACAAATATCAAGAAAAGTAAAGTAACTTGTTTGTAATCACGATATTTGTTATAGGCAGAGTTGAGACTTAGAACTGAAGTCTTCTGGCACCTATTTCTGAACTGATCCCATTATTTTATGTGGCTTCAAGAAACTGAAAATTGTTCTCATTAGATAAGCTAACATAAGTTAAATTATATTTTATTATTCATATTAATATTAATATATTAATTTATATTAACATAAGTTAATTCTGTTTCATTGCATGTTTTCCAGAGTCAAAACATTTTTGGCCTCGATGTCATTGAAACACCAGAAGGAGACAAGATGCCACAACTGATTGTTCAAAAGGAGTTAGATAGGGAAGAGAAGGATACCTACGTGATGAAAGTAAAGGTTGAAGATGGTGGCTTTCCTCAAAGATCCAGTACTGCTATTTTGCAAGTGAGTGTTACTGATACAAATGACAACCACCCAGTCTTTAAGGAGACAGAGATTGAAGTCAGTATACCAGAAAATGCTCCTGTAGGCACTTCAGTGACACAGCTCCATGCCACAGATGCTGACATAGGTGAAAATGCCAAGATCCACTTCTCTTTCAGCAATCTAGTCTCCAACATTGCCAGGAGATTATTTCACCTCAATGCCACCACTGGACTTATCACAATCAAAGAACCACTGGATAGGGAAGAAACACCAAACCACAAGTTACTGGTTTTGGCAAGTGATGGTGGATTGATGCCAGCAAGAGCAATGGTGCTGGTAAATGTTACAGATGTCAATGATAATGTCCCATCCATTGACATAAGATACATCGTCAATCCTGTCAATGACACAGTTGTTCTTTCAGAAAATATTCCACTCAACACCAAAATTGCTCTCATAACTGTGACGGATAAGGATGCGGACCATAATGGCAGGGTGACATGCTTCACAGATCATGAAATCCCTTTCAGATTAAGGCCAGTATTCAGTAATCAGTTCCTCCTGGAGACTGCAGCATATCTTGACTATGAGTCCACAAAAGAATATGCCATTAAATTACTGGCTGCAGATGCTGGCAAACCTCCTTTGAATCAGTCAGCAATGCTCTTCATCAAAGTGAAAGATGAAAATGACAATGCTCCAGTTTTCACCCAGTCTTTCGTAACTGTTTCTATTCCTGAGAATAACTCTCCTGGCATCCAGTTGACGAAAGTAAGTGCAATGGATGCAGACAGTGGGCCTAATGCTAAGATCAATTACCTGCTAGGCCCTGATGCTCCACCTGAATTCAGCCTGGATTGTCGTACAGGCATGCTGACTGTAGTGAAGAAACTAGATAGAGAAAAAGAGGATAAATATTTATTCACAATTCTGGCAAAAGATAACGGGGTACCACCCTTAACCAGCAATGTCACAGTCTTTGTAAGCATTATTGATCAGAATGACAATAGCCCAGTTTTCACTCACAATGAATACAACTTCTATGTCCCAGAAAACCTTCCAAGGCATGGTACAGTAGGACTAATCACTGTAACTGATCCTGATTATGGAGACAATTCTGCAGTTACGCTCTCCATTTTAGATGAGAATGATGACTTCACCATTGATTCACAAACTGGTGTCATCCGACCAAATATTTCATTTGATAGAGAAAAACAAGAATCTTACACTTTCTATGTAAAGGCTGAGGATGGTGGTAGAGTATCACGTTCTTCAAGTGCCAAAGTAACCATAAATGTGGTTGATGTCAATGACAACAAACCAGTTTTCATTGTCCCTCCTTCCAACTGTTCTTATGAATTGGTTCTACCGTCCACTAATCCAGGCACAGTGGTCTTTCAGGTAATTGCTGTTGACAATGACACTGGCATGAATGCAGAGGTTCGTTACAGCATTGTAGGAGGAAACACAAGAGATCTGTTTGCAATCGACCAAGAAACAGGCAACATAACATTGATGGAGAAATGTGATGTTACAGACCTTGGTTTACACAGAGTGTTGGTCAAAGCTAATGACTTAGGACAGCCTGATTCTCTCTTCAGTGTTGTAATTGTCAATCTGTTCGTGAATGAGTCGGTGACCAATGCTACACTGATTAATGAACTGGTGCGCAAAAGCACTGAAGCACCAGTGACCCCAAATACTGAGATAGCTGATGTATCCTCACCAACTAGTGACTATGTCAAGATCCTGGTTGCAGCTGTTGCTGGCACCATAACTGTCGTTGTAGTTATTTTCATCACTGCTGTAGTAAGATGTCGCCAGGCACCACACCTTAAGGCTGCTCAGAAAAACAAGCAGAATTCTGAATGGGCTACCCCAAACCCAGAAAACAGGCAGATGATAATGATGAAGAAAAAGAAAAAGAAGAAGAAGCATTCCCCTAAGAACTTGCTGCTTAATTTTGTCACTATTGAAGAAACTAAGGCAGATGATGTTGACAGTGATGGAAACAGAGTCACACTAGACCTTCCTATTGATCTAGAAGAGCAAACAATGGGAAAGTACAATTGGGTAACTACACCTACTACTTTCAAGCCCGACAGCCCTGATTTGGCCCGACACTACAAATCTGCCTCTCCACAGCCTGCCTTCCAAATTCAGCCTGAAACTCCCCTGAATTCGAAGCACCACATCATCCAAGAACTGCCTCTCGATAACACCTTTGTGGCCTGTGACTCTATCTCCAAGTGTTCCTCAAGCAGTTCAGATCCCTACAGCGTTTCTGACTGTGGCTATCCAGTGACGACCTTCGAGGTACCTGTGTCCGTACACACCAGACCGGTAGGTATCCAAGTTTCTAACACAACTTTCTAACTATTTTTTTATTATTATTTTCAGTTGATGTAGAACTTTACAAAATCTATTGACTTCAAAGAGGGATCAAAACAATCATATTCTACAGATGTACCCAATAGATATATGGATTCAATTAAGTTTGGTAGAAGATGAGAACAAAATAACTACTGATTTAGGAAAATTGGATGCAGAATAATAATTATAGTAGGGGCAATTTTGTCTGTAGATGGCAGTATGACAATTCTTGCTAGAGAATATATTGAAAAAAACTTCAACACAAAGGGTTGTAGCACTGTCCTCAGTACCATTGTGTGCATGAGGATCAGAATAGTCTGGGCTAGATACATCACATTAAAGCTTTTCAGAATCTGATAAATAGCTCTAAATACTAATGATATTGAGAAGCCTAGCTTCACTTGGGAAAATCTGTGGCTGTTCACAGAAATTCAGCACCAAGTTATTCCCCCCATACTCTACCAGGCCTTCAGGTCCTCATAAAGAAAAGTGTCGTTTTCAGATTAGGAACTCAAAATTATTTTGGTGCATCAAATCTACAGTCACACAATATAACAAGAATGGGATTAGAAAAATGAAAGCCTACTCATTCTCATCTTTAAGCCAGAGAATGAAATATATATGAGGTCTCTGGATAGCTATTTAAATATTTGCATATTTATGCAAGGTATTTTGAGCCCTTCAGAAGACATTCTTAAAAGATAATAACTTTTGGAAAATAAAATGTTTGCTTTCTCTAATAGGCACAAAGAAAACTGTGGGCATGTTAAGACCCAAGAAATCTGTGCACAATAACTTAAAACCCAATACATTTATGAAAGCAAGAGTTTATCCAGTGCCTTTTATCAGTGTTCCATGAAGAAATGAATACAAATTTATCCAGAAACTCTTAAATGTTGAATGATTTAAATATAATTGTTCCCTTTAAAAAGACAAGCAATGGAATTTACCCACATTTTTTTCTCGAAGTCATGCTACATGTTGAGTTTATTATTTTGTCTGTGTTAACTCTTAAAAAAGTATTAATCTTAGTTTCAGGGAATAAAGTCTTTTGAACACCTATTCAGGCTTAACAAAATAGTAGCAATGTGAAAATCAAAACTGATTTTCTTTCACCAAAAGTTCGAGATATTAAAGAAGGCTACTGCATTCAAGATAGCAATGCAAATAGTTTACCATAACTTTGGAAATGGGTTTAAGAATGGAGGTCATTCAAGCATAAGCGCAGTTATATAATACGATAACATTAACTTTTCTCTCTGAATCACACAATGAACGTAAGGTACTAATTCAGATGTGGGTGCATTTTTGTTACAGTAGGTACACAATTAAATGCTGTTTCAAAAGGTAAACTAGAACCCTAGTGTCTGTATAGAGAGCTTCTGTTAGACTTTAAAAGAATTTACGCTGCAGTTGTTATTTCTACAGTTTAGATGAATCCCATATTTTACATAGTTAGTGGATCTGGGATGGGCAACAAACGTTAAGAGATGTCGAACATCTCCACAGGGTGTGTTTTTGTTTATATTTAACCATTAAAAAGGGCACTCTCATTTTCAAATTCTTATTGCTATTCTGCTTATTGGATAAGTTTCTCAACATAAAAGTATCTTTTATGACTAACACTACATGATTTGGGTATAATAACATTTTTTCCTGGGTTTAATTTGTGACTTTCTTTAAGAAGTGTACAAAGAGTGGGTTTGTGAATTACATATGTAGATCATCATTTTTAATAGATTTAATGAAGTTAATTAATAAAGCAAGTTCTGGTTTCAGTGCTTTTTGAAGGCACAGAGATATTTTATGAGCTAGACTGATTTTACTTGAGTTTATGAACACATAGCAAGGAGGGCATGGATGAAGAACAAAAAACTGAAGTATTTTTCAAATATCCTCACTTTTTTGTTTTTTTAAAAATATTTTGTAATCCTAAAAAGTCATTAAAAATAATAAACCTTTTTCCATGACGCATTTTATATCATATAACTAAGAGACATTTTCTGAATCATAAGAATTAGTCAAAATACAAAAAAGTAAATGCTAATGAGAATCAGTTATTGGTTGTTATCAGGTTTTTATTAACTGAAAGGACTATCTTAGAATCATTGAATTAGCAGATGACTTATTTATTTCACAGCTTAAAAAGTAAATAAATTATATATTTTATTATTGGTTCACAGTTGTTTCATATTCATTACTAAATATCTTCAAGACATGAATTGGTGAACTTAGGCAGACTAATATGATACTAAAAATAATTTGAATCTTTACATTTTGTGCTACATTTGCAATGTTCTTTACCTTTTCTATATGCTCTTCAATTTGTGTTTAATGTTAGGGTGTTCAATGATGTTGCAGAATGCTAGCAAAATAAGTGAGCACTGAAAAAGAAATTATGTATTTAAAAATTCAAATGCAGTAGGTGTCTTCTTTTTAAAGAAATATCATACAAAATGGGAGAAGTGACAGCCAATACAATACAAATTCATTGTTCCTTAAGGAAATACTTAGAGTGGAATAAAATATTACTGTTAGCAGAAGGCAGAATTATTCCAATTTATTTTAAACAGTGAGAAATGCATTTTCAAAATGAGGGTTTGGGGAATATTTACATTTAGTTCATTACTCGTCTGAATAGAAACAGGAAAGTGGAAAATAAAATGTTCTAGTAGACTATAAGAGACAAGGGAATTCATCTGAAATTTTATGTTTTATAAAGGGAATCAAATACTTTCTAGTTCTCATAATTTCTCATTCTCCTTGATCATTCTATAGGTTGTTTTTCTGACTTGGATGTTCTGAAAATATATGGAACATTTATTAGATAGGAGTACATATATTGCATAAAGCCATCTATACCTGGGGAATATAATGGTCGTCTTTGGCATACGTTTCTACATGTATTATGGAAGGCATTTTTGTATACATTGTAGTAGAAATTTTAAAAACATGAAATTTGAGAGGATGAGGCTACACATTATCTTCTATTAACACCTTTCAAAACAAGCAGATAGCAATTGGTTGTTATGACACTAGAGAAACCATAAGTATAAATAATTATTTTAAAATCACTTTTGATCAATGTCATATAAAAGAGATAAACTGCCAAAACCAAGTCTTGCTTAATACAATTCACCCATTAAATATTGTGAAGACTATACATTTTAAAAAAATAGAGAGGAGAATAAAAATGAAAGTAGAATTTTTTGAAGGTCTTCCAGTCACTGTCTAAGACAAGTATTTGGGGTACATCATTTTCCAAAAAACAAACAAACAAACAAAAAACCTTACAAGTTTCTGTGATTTGAGTTGGAATAGTCTTTCAGTTTCAGAAATGAGGTGAATGAATGGTGAAAACTTTAGACAGTTCTAATTCATGCATGAAACCATCCTGTAGATATGATACATGGATTTGAAATGATAATTGCAGTCTGAGTTAGCTTGGAATAGGATTGGTATTCACTATTGTAAAATTCAGTAACTTTGACTCTGCATTTATATTTTGGTAATGCAAATTTTAACCATGAAGCATGCTTGGCAAATGAAACTCCTAGAACACAACCATCTGATTTTGATAACGTGTTATTTTTCTTGTCCTAGACTGATTCCAGGACATCAACTATTGAAATCTGCAGTGAGATATAACTTTCTAGGAACAACAAAATTCCATTCCCCTTCCAAAAAATTTCAATGATTGTGATTTCAAAATTAGGCTAAGATCATTAATTTTGTAATCTAGATTTCCCATTATAAAAGCAAGCAAAAATCATCTTAAAAATGATGTCCTAGTGAACCTTGTGCTTTCTTTAGCTGTAATCTGGCAATGGAAATTTAAAATTTATGGAAGAGACAGTGCAGCACAATAACAGAGTACTCTCATGCTGTTTCTCTGTTTGCTCTGAATCAACAGCCATGATGTAATATAAGGCTGTCTTGGTGTATACACTTATGGTTAATATATCAGTCATGAAACATGCAATTACTTGCCCTGTCTGATTGTTGAATAATTAAAACATTATCTCCAGGAGTTTGGAAGTGAGCTGAACTAGCCAAACTACTCTCTGAAAGGTATCCAGGGCAAGAGACATTTTTAAGACCCCAAACAAACAAAAAACAAAACCAAAACACTCTGGTTCAGTGTTTTGAAAATATTCACTAACATAATATTGCTGAGAAAATCATTTTTATTACCCACCACTCTGCTTAAAAGTTGAGTGGGCCGGGCGCGGTGGCTCACGCCTGTAATCCCAGCACTTTGGGAGGCCGAGGCGGGTGGATCACGAGGTCAGGAGATTGAGACCATCCTGGCTAACACGGTGAAACCCCATCTCCACTAAAAATACAAAAAATTAGCCTGGCGTGGTGGCGGGCGCCTGTAGTCCCAGCTACTCGGGAGGCTGAGGCAGGAGAATAGCGTGAACCCGGGAGGCGGAGCTTGCAGTGAGCCGAGATGGCGCCACTGCACTCCAGCCTGGGTGACAGAGCAAGACTCTGTCTCAAAAAGAAAAAAATGTTCAATGATAGAAAATAATTTTACTAGGTTTTTATGTTGATTGTACTCATGCTGTTCCACTCCTTTTAATTATTAAAAAGTTATTTTTGGCTGGGTGTGGTGGCTCACACCTGTAATCCCAGCACTTTGGGAGGCCGAGGTGGGTGGATCACCTGAGGTCAGGAGTTCAAGACCAGTCTGGCCAACATGGCGAAACCCCGTCTCTTCTGAAAAATACAAAAATTAGCCGGGCGTGGTAATGGGCGCCTGTAATCCCAGCTACTCGGGAGGCTGAGGCAGGAGAATTGCTTGAACCCAGGAGGCGGAAGTTGCAGTGAGCCGAGATCGTGCCGTTGCACTCCAGCGTGGGTGACAAAGCAAGACTCCGTCTCAAAAAAAAAAAAAAAAAAAAAAGAAAAAAAGTTATTTTTGTTGTAATAATGTTTTCTTTTTCTATAAATATTTTCAAAGAAAGAGGTCCTTTCTATTTTTATCTGTCAAAAGGAGAATGTAAAGTTCATACTCCCTGATATTTTGAAAAAAAGTATATTGATATTTCTTATATTACGAAACATAATTCCAGTCATATGAGGGTGGAAACAACGATTGAGATAGGAGATTTCAAAAAGATTTTATCCCAACTTTGAAACTACCTAAGAAAAATGTGAGGTTGCTAGAGTAACTTATTTAAATAAGTCTGTTTTATTTCTCTAGCATTAAATTACTAAATATACATCATTGCTTTGAGTAATTTTTCCTTTAAAATGAATTCACTTTTCACAGTAAGTCAACTAACTCATTTCCTACACGAATGAGAAAATGCCTCATATTTTGTGTACATTATATTTTATTGAGGAAAGAATGACATGTTCCAATTTTATGCTATATTCTTAAACTATTTATGACTTACTAACAGTACTAACAGAATTTTTTAAAATCATGTTTATTGGGATAAAAAGGGAGTACAAAGGACCCTTATAATGATTACATAGCATATGCTTCCTGAATTTTAATTCAAATGTTAATTATGTATCATTTTACCTTTAAAAGTGTGAATAGGATTTGGTCTGTTTTGTATGTACATTAACGTTAGTGTATTATTTGAAGTGTTCTTTGATGTGAATGTATTTAGAAAAGGTTTATGCTCTGTTCAGTATTTCAAATTAGTGTAATTCTTGGATATTTAATATATAGGTAATATTTTAAACAAGTTTCTGTTAAAATTTAGTGTTCCCATTAACTCCGTACAGAATCCCTTGTATTTCCAATATGTCAGGTTCCATGAATGTACATGCTATCTGGTTGTTTAAACATTACTTAGTTGATTATAATGACTGTGAGTATAACTACTTTTACTGCTTATGGTAGATATCATGTGAGTTACAATATTATATTACATACTCTTAAACAACTGTTGTAGAAAAGTTGCTTGAAATTAAAATACACACTTGTACAAGTTATTCACATAGAACAAGTTTGCAGTTACTCCCCTTTTATTCTTGATAAATATTTCAGTTTAGTTCAAATCATTCCAAGGAATGTAAAAATTGAATCAACTTATTATATTCCTAAAATCAGTGCCCTGCAGGTAGCAAGATATACCTAGAGTGGAGGTTTCCAAAATCTACAGTCTCAATTTAATTTTGAATAAAATGACGAAGCCCAGAAAAGTGAATCAGAAGTTGAAGTGTCCCATAATAAGCTGTCATGGCTTCATGATCATTTGTGTATGTAATTATTATAAAAATGCATTTGCATTTTTATTGCTTGTGTCATGACTAGCCTGGCCTTTCCTTTCCTTTTCTGCACACACTGAACTAAGGGAGAATACCTTGTTTTTCTTCCATTTCAGTGAACCTTTCCTTCATAACTGTAATGAGTAAAGGTCCTAATCACTCCTTTGTATATATGAAGATGAAAATTCCTTGAAATAATTATCCAGAATTTCTTTAAAAGCATTCCTCAATGGTTTTATGAGTGCTGTATTTGAAGAAGATTAAAATAGAAACTTTATTTTTAAAGCTGTGACTCCATCTCTTAGAATGCAGCGTCTCTGAGAAAGGAACTTCTAAACTGACTTCTGCTTTGGGCTAAAATATTTACCCATATAAGCCAATGATAGTACAGAGATTTAACAGTATTTAAATTTGGGCCATAGATGAAAATGAATTCTACTTTTGACTAGTAACTATTCTTGATCCATCCTTTGCTTTTGTTTGAGAGAATATTATCTCTATTTGAGAACAACATGGAAGGCATTGAAACTAGTTTTCCACAAAGGCCAGAGGACAAAAATATTTATTTCCTTACTTGATTCCTTCTTATCAGTTGACCTGGTCGCATCTTTAATTTAATTGATATTATTATTACGTTTGCCTTGCAAGTTCTCAGATATCTCCAACCTTTTGTGTTGTCATTCATCGACTACGGGAATATTCTCAATGAAATGTCCTTGATGGTCTCTCTGGTTCTTATTCTAGTCATGAAAAGGAAAAGACAAAAAGATAGCAAATCTTAAAACTAGTAAATAAAAGGAACTTGTAGTGAACTTTGTCCATTAAATTATAAGTAGCTTACCTGATGAGCTACAGTGTACTGTATACTTTCTCCCCTGCAAGCACTCAAAGAAATATTATTTGATCAAAATCTATAGTGCATAAATTAAACAAAAAATACTGAAATATATTCTCATTTTATTTTAATTATGCAAGTTTATTTTTAATGATATGATATTTAAGCTATTATATTTCTCACTTTTTTATTTTCAATGATTTAAATGTAAAAATTATAAAACAATTTTAATCTCATTCATTAATTCATCTTTCATGTATAAGTCTGTTTTCTCTGTTGACCACCCTGTCCACATTATGAATAAAAATATGTATATACTTGGCCGGGCGCGGTGGCTCATGCCTGTATTCCCAGTACTTTGGGAGGCCAAGGCGGGAGGATCACAAGGTCAGGAGATCGAGACCATCCTGGCTAACACAGTGAAACCCCGTCTCTACTAAAAATACAAAAAATTAGCTGGGCGTGGTGGCGGGCGCCTGTAGTCCCAGCTACTCGGGAGGCTGAGGCAGGAGAATGGCATGAACCCGGGAGGCGGAGCTTGCAGTGAGCCAAGATGGCGCCACTGCACTCCAGCCTGGGCGACAGAGCTAGACTCCATCTCAAAAAAAAAAAAAAAAGAAAAGAAAAGAAAAGAAAATATATATATACTTTAGAATAATTTTTAGAAGTTGAGTTTATATTCAATCAATATTTACTAACCTTGTCATTTCACCATGAAATACTAACTGCATCATTTTGCTGTTTTGTCACCTGCACTCCTCACTGTTGAATTCCATGTTGTAATTGTATATCTAGCTAGATGTGATGTGCAGCCTGAGTGTAACAGAAGCACTACAGGACAAGCAGACCTTGAGTAATCTTATATAAATCTAAGCCACATTCCATAAATGCTTCTTGTAGGTGCTTTTGTGTAATAAACGTATTTTCTTGGCTTTTATGAAGCTTAGTTTGTGTTTATTTTAAATATGACTTAGCTTCCTAGAATATTCAAAGATTCTGTGATAATACAAAGCTATATTTCTTGCATATAATTAGTATTTTTAGAAAGAACTACAGTGCATTTTTTCATACATCGTGCGTGTTCATACATGACATCTTTGGTTTAATGTATTTAGAATTAGGAGTAGACTTTTAAAATTCTAGAGTAGCCATAGGTTTCTATTTTTATTGTACATGTGATACACATTTGTTGTAGAAAAATCTAGAAAATTGTATAAAGCTTTTAGATGAAGAATTTTAAAATTATTTGTTTTTATTTCAAGCTAGAGCAGTGAGTTCTTTATAACAGTAATTCTGTTTGAAGGCTATATAACTTTTTGAAGTGGTGCATTTTAAAATTATAGAATTATGCTTATTGTTTTATAAACTATACATCCAGGACTTTTTACATGTATTGAAGACTGATTTATTTATTAAACATATTGTTTATTTTTATAGATGTATGATTGGACAAATTTATGTAATAACATACCTTGATTAGTTGATAGTGTAATACAGAGGCATGTTACATATCTCCACCATGAGACTAAACTCCCCTGAGTAAAAATATCAAGTCTTGATGAAAAAGCTTTTATACTTTAAAAAAATACCATCTAATATTTTCCAAAAGTTCCCTTAGAACAACCTAGTTACATAATTATTTCCCAGAATTTTCAGAACTCTTTTAATTTTCCTATATTCTAGATATTTGCAACCGAAATTGTTTTAAATGTTCCTTTTGAAATAGTTAATTACATTTAATTATCCATACATACACAAATATATCCAATTAATAATAAAACTTTTTTGTCAAGTGAAAAAAATCACAAATCACATTTCATTAGATTTCAGGTAGTCAAATTGACATAATAATGAAAATGAACTATTCCAATAGATTTTCTAGAAATATTTGTACTTTATCCCTTATCCTAGAACCTTATATGTACCAATTATATATTGATTTACTTCATAAAATGTTACTATCTTTTGAATACAGTTGACTTTTAAAAAAATTTTCAGTGGCCAGGCGCAGTAACTCTCATGCCTGTAATCCCAGCACTTTGGGAGGCCGAGGCAGGTGGATCGCTTGAGCTCAGGAGTTTCAGACCAGCCTGGGCAACATGGTTGAAACCCTGTCTCTATCAAAAATGCAAAAACTTAGCCGGGTTTGGTGGTGCATATCTGTGGTCTCAGCTACTTGTGAGGCTGAAATGGGAGAATCTCTTGAGTGGCGGGGGTTGTGGGGGAGGTTGCAGTGAGCCTAGATCACGCCACTGCACTCCAGCCTGGGTGACAGAGTGAGATTCCATCTCAAAAAAATTTTTTTAAATAAATAAATAAAAACATTTTCATTCTTTTTATCTTAAAACTTGGAAGAAACATTAGATACAATAATACTTTCATTAGTCAATTAGAGAAAAGTTTAAGTAATACGGCTTTGACTATTCAGTAGTAGTGAAAAGTAAAACAAATATTGAACTCTAAAGAAAAATGTTATTTACAGAAATCTATAAAATAAACTTTAAAATGTATTTACTTATTATATATCAGTTCTAACCTTAATTACAAAATCAATGCAGAGCACCATTTCAATGATATATTATAACTAAAGAGAATTGATCATAAACAACTGTTACGTTATCCAAAAATATTTTCAGTAATTCAAACATGCAACTTGAATAGTTGTTGAGTGACACAAACTTGAAGCAACTAAAATTATTTTTTTAAATGCACTGGCTCTTTTGACATGTAAATACAGAAATAGTCTCATATTCAAGGATGGAACAAATACACAAAAATGGAATTTCATGGACTCTCAACACTAGTTTGTGACCTCTGAAATGAGAGACCATATTTTATTATTATTTTTATTTATTTCATCTCTTGTTATTCAAAACTATGAATTGAGTGTATTTTTTGCAGAAAATTATACTCATCATTTATGATACTCAGATTAAATAATTACTTTTTTGTTTTGTTTTGCTTTTTAAGACATAGTCTTGCTCTGTCTCCCAGGCTGGAGTGCAGTGGCCTGATCTCAGCTCACTGCAACCTCCGCCTCCTGGGTTCAAGAGATTCTCCTGTCTCAGCCTCCTGAGGGACTATAGTCATGTGCCACCACACCTGGCTAATTTTTGTATTTTTAGTAGAAACGGGGTTTCGCCATGCTGACCAGGCTGTTCTCAAACTCCTGACCTCAGGTGATCCACCCGCCTCAGCCTCCCAAAGTGCTGGGATTACAGGCGTGAGCCAGCGCACCTGGCCAAATAATTGGTTTTTTTACACAAATTTAATTATCCAAAGAAACTGCTGAGTTATCTTCCAGATTGTTATCATGACTGTGTTTACATGATACCAAAACATATGGAGGCAAAATAGAATTTTTTACTACATATAGGGATATTTTGCTGACCTGACAGAATTATTTGACTACATAAAGACACAGAATTTAGTACTACAGAATGATATTGTAAATAGTTTCATTTTCGATAGAAAAAAGAGTTTTACATGCTATATAAAGTTGTCGTTATCTGAATCTAGAATAACTGATAACAGTTAACAATGGAATTCCACACAGTGCTGCAATTCAATTTTACATTTATACATTTTAGTTGTGTATAAAGACATACACTTATTTATTTCAAAATGCACACAAATTAAAGAAATGAGAGGGAATGTACACTTAAATCTTTTTAGGTGTCTGAGCTGAAAGATAGATGTCTAGAAGTTAATATACCTAATTGTGTGTCTAGAGGAAATGTCATATTAATTTGATGTTTAAGCAGTTCTAATGTATTGGTATTAAAATGGGTTAGTGTATGTGTGAGCACAGATATGTTTGCATATATGTGTGCATATTTATGTTTGTCAAATTTCTAGCAGAAAAAAGTAAGATAAACTTCAAACTAAAGAAAGCTTGTTAAAAGATTTTGCATCTACATTTACAATGTTATTGTCCCCTTTTACACCATTATGCCTCGTTTCTAAACTATAATCACCCAGTATCCCTGATATCATCCCATATATAATCTTTCATTTAGAAAATCCTTGTCATATCCAGTACATTCTGTATATGTCCTCATGTTTTTTTCTTTTAAAAAAATTATTTGTCTGTTTCCCAAATGATCACAGATCCAGTAATGTTAAAGTACATATAAAAAATTAAATTGATTTTTGTTATCTAAGTACTAGTACAGATTCTGCTTCTCTTGCACACACACACAAATAAAGACAAATTTGTTTTCCATAATAGCCAACTTCTGCCCAGTTGTTATAACTAAAATATATCCAAGTAAAAGTCCATTAAAACAATCCTCTTTATTTTGCATTGTTACATTACTTAATTTTAATAATTATGAAAATAAAAAGAAAGAAGTAGTTCTCTGTTAGTCTTCTGTACAATGTCAGATTTGCTGTTTCATGTGTCTTCAACTTTATGGGTTTAATTTATGTCTTCATCAAATGGCTATGGTATGGATTTACCATAATTGTATACATGCATACATGCCTACCTATGTATATATAAACAAACATTTTTGTAAACAGCTCAGTGAGGACTTTGGACTGGCATAAATCATAGGAATATGATTATGAGGATACATCCAATTTTCAGATTGGGCAATGTATACAGTTTATTATCATTTCTGATTTTGGGTAGAGTTAGTACTAAGAACAGCATTGAAGAAAAGCAGTATAACATTAAAATTAAGAAGATTTAAAATACAAGAGGATTCATAACAGTCACTTTTAAAATATTGTTTTGGCTTTCTACTTTGGAGCTGTAATTTTAAAAAAAGAATGAACAGGTTTTTGTATGAATATGTTAGAATGACTAATTATAGAGCATCTTTCAACTGGAATACATGTAGATACTAACACCTGGTTGTATTTGATGTAATTTCAGTGCATACAGTGTGTATAATCTGTATTAAGTGAAATACTTATGAATAAAGTTGTTTCTGCATTGCAATAACACATCTTCTGATATTTTTTGAAGTGCTTCTTGTCAGCAGGGGCTACTAGTTTCATTAACATCATCAAGGATCCTAAAATATTTTTAGCACAATGACATCCTACATTCTTCATGGTATAGCTCATTATCTGTGCTGGATTAACCAGAATTTTTATATTGTCATTTCTGTTCACCACCATTGTGGTGTAACTGATCTTTTTCGATTAACCCAAAGCAATGAAGTAGTCATATTTACTAAAGTTTTAGTTTCGTGCGTTTTATTGTATTAACATTTTTTGAATATTGGTAATGTGGTATCATTTATGAACCACTGTATTTGATAAAGCATTATCGATAATGGAGTTTACCATGAGTTCAGACAAGATAAATTAAATATTTCTCAAACTCCTACTGTGAGTAAGGCAATGTGGAGAAGGTCAATGGTTATGGTGAGGGATGGGGTATAGGGGGCTAGAAATGTAGGATGACCAAGGTTCTCCCCTAGTTGCTATTACTGTAAAAAGCCCCCTGTCCAAGGAGTTGAACTGCAAGTATGTTTAATAAAAAAACAAAAAACAAACAACTTTCCTTTTTCCAGTGCAGAAAATTTGTGAGTATATAATATCAGGGTTTAAAAAAAAAAAGAAAAAGAAAAAAAGCACATAAAAGTGACAAAATATAAAATTTCAGTGTTTACTATAATAATTAGAGGGGTGTGTGTGTGTGTGTGTGTGTGTGTGTGTGTGTTAGAGAGAGAGAGAGAATATCACTAGTAAACCACCTCCCAAGTATGTATTGGGTATGGGCATGCATGTACTTAACCCATTTCAGGAAGCATCCTAAAGTCAGCAACACTTTCCTCTCCTCAGTCACATCCAAGCCAACAGCTATATTATGTTGATAATACCTCCAAAATACCCCTGACATTTGTCCCGTTGCCATTTCCTTTTTCCAGTCTTAGTCACCAGTTACCTGTTCCACTACTAACAGGTTGCCTTACTTTCTACTTTCATTTGTTCAATCAATTTTCTACCCTGTACCCATAATACTCCTAAAACACAGGTCTGATCCAGTGAAGCCTGACAGAAAAGCTTCTCTTTCCTCATTGCACATAGAATAAAGCCTCAATTTTTATATTTTTCAAGGGACTTTGCAATCTTAACCAGTTCTACTTGTTCATTCTATCTCCTACCTTGCCATGCACCTCATATTTTTGTCATTTCTTCTGCTACCCCCTCTTCCCTGATCATGGCATGCACTTTGATGCCTCCATAAATCTGCACAATTTACCAGAATTATTTTGAGGACTTTTTTTTTTGTTAAGACACCGCTGCAAGGACAAAAACAAAAATAAACTGCAATTGGCGATATTGAAGTGCAACTGTGGAGATAGGACAAGAACACATTTTTTTTTTTTTTTGAGACGGAATCTCGCTCTGTTGCCCAGGCTGGAGTGCAGTGGCACGATCTTGGCTCACGGCAACATCCGCCTCCCGGGTTCAAGCAATTTCAGGCTAATTTTTGTATTTTTAGTAGAGACTGGGGTTACACCCTGTTGACCAACCTGCTCTCTAACTCCTGACCTCAAGTGATCCGCCCGCCTCATTCTCCCAAAATGCTAGGATTACAGGCGTGAGCCACCACGCCCGGCCAAGAACACAATTTTAATACCAGAGAGTATATGACAAAAATGAAGAAATGCTACCTGATTTTATTAAAAATGAAACAAGTCGGCATGCTATCATTTCCTTCCATATCTTTTCAAATCTTAGCATCAACCTTACATAATTCTTATAAAATTAAAATGTTTCAAATAAATGACTAGGTCATATAACCTGTAAACATCAGTTTCTGGAAACTATTCCCAGAAAATTGTTACATTGCTTTTCTTCATTAATTCTAGAAAGATTTTTAAATCTCTATTTTGGATATTTTGATTGTTGTTACTCCTTTTGTCCATGAGTTATACTCAAAAAGTATCAAAGGAAAAATTTAATGCATTTATTGATCTGGATATAGTCCATATACAAAGGGGTGAGAGAACCGCATTTTTTTTTTTTTTTTTTGAGATGGAGTCTCGCTCTGTCGCCCAGGCTGGAGTGCAGTGGCGCGATCTCGGCTCACTGCAAGCGCTTTTAGGCATTTTAGCACAAGAAGCATCTCAGTGTGTGATTTCTTCAAAGAAAAATATTCCCAGTATGCTATATGGCGAGAAAAAAAGACATTCTTGTCTTCAATAGAGGGACATTTTCTGTGGTGAATAATCACAAATCTATATTGACGACTATGGTTTGGATGTGTTTGTGTAGACATAAATCCTGTCGCCGAAGTACTGAGATGAAATGTTCACCCCAAATAGAAATCATTGTGTCTCTCCGCCCCTCTGCTGAAAATCAAAGTTATCAATTTCGGGAAAACATGAACAGATGGAGAAACCATGGGATATCAAATGTACATATATGTATGTCCAAATTATAACATGGCAGAGCTACTCTGAAAATGCAGAAACTACATATCCCTACTCAAAACTGACTATATATATATAAAATTTTAAGGAATGAACTTCTTGGCACTTACATTGAAAGCAAATATGCTACCTGCTTCCTAGAAATAGAACGGATAAAAATAAACCACCGAGTTCTTAAGTTAGCCCTTTTTACTTTCGTTCTTACTACGACATAAAAAGTCTTTCTAAATTATATGTAGGAAACATTCTGGGAAATTGGGGTTTTGTTTTGTTTAGTTTCTCTTTCATATCTTTCCTAGACAATCTTATATCAGGAGATTCTTAACGCCAGCTTTAGGATAAGACATTTCCATGGTACATGTTTTATAAAAAATCGTGACTTATGTCACCTCTTTTTGTAAAGGAAATGAACACCATCATGAATAGGAAAATAATGTTTCTTTTGCTCAGTTACAACTATAGAGAATTTTCAATCATCCCAGATAAAATAAAAGCAGCTATTAACATTCTTAAAGTCGGTGACTATTTTCTTCAGTGCACATACCTTGGTAATAGAGGGTCATTATAAAGGGGTAATATAGTGAAAGACTAGATATGAAGACAAGACTAAGGACTCAATAACATGAAAAACATAGCAAGAACAGTACATTACCATATTTCTAGTGAACAAATGTTGCTTTTATGTTTGTGTGGTGTTTTAGATTTTCTTGAAGTGCTTCCATCAGGGCATCGGAAAGATTTTTATTCATAAACGCACCCCTCTTATTCCCTTTTAATCTGATAGAGGCCAAAAGTATGTTTTACTCCGATTTATTTCTTAGAAACAATTATATCTAAAATGAGTCTAACTGAAAAGGTACAATAACAATATTCCAAATATGCCTTAACTCTATTTCTACCTCAAATATCACTGTGCTTATGTATGAAATTTCAAATTTCATGGTCCATTTTTTTTGTTTCATGGAGAAAAATACCATGTCCCTTCTGATATGAAATCAGAATCCCAAGAGACAACTCAGAAAATAGACTTGCAACATATCCTTTTTTAGGTTAGTCTGGCATGTAGAATGTGTTAGAACCCCAGATTGGCTACCACATATAGACATGGGAAGTGTTGGATATACTAACAGATAGAGACTTGTCCTATTAACACATTAAAGAAACATGCTGTAGTTCAGACCTTCTCATCCTCTGGGCACCCTTTGTGACCCTATGTTCACATAGGGGCATGCACCTTGACTCACATAATTTCTGTTAATCCAATAAGAGAAAAAATCTCAGTCAACTACACACTTTCTGGATAAGGTGACTCTTTTTACTCAGGAAAACAGTTTTCTGATCATGTTCCCTTATAATACATTTTTATGCCTTTCTTAGCAGTATTACTCTGTGGTATACTTCAGTCAAATCACCTGAACTCTCTCATTCCCTGAGCGGTGGTCACTGTACTCATCACAATGTCTATATACACTGTGTGGAGAGTAAAGTTTATTTAACCACATAAGCTGCTATTCTGAAAATACATTTTTCACATTGAGAGAAGTATAGTTTGTGTAGCTAAAGCTATACAAGGTGGTTGAGTGTTGGGAAAAAGAGATTGAGACAGGGAGAGGGTGCTAGTGCTGAAAAGATCAAAAGCCTAACAGGAAAAGAGAAAGAAGTGGTAGGATACAAAAGATCAAAACTATGGATTCTCTCGGACATTTCCTCAGTTTCATCAACCTACATATTTATTAGTTTGCCTCTCCCTGGTAATGCCTAGGATTGGTCCTTGCACAAGTTATCATTTCTGAAGGTTTCACATATTCATGCCCCCAAGTTTTAACACCTTCTCTCATCTCTGACAGAAATATCAAATAATTTTATATATTCTACATGAGGTTTCCCCTTGCCCAAAGAAACCTAACAGTCCAGAAAGATATTTATGTAAGTTTGATTTCTGTACAGATGTATATAATACTGATATTATATATAATACATATTATATTATATATGTATATATTTATGTGTATCATATATTCATTATATTACACATTCCATATATTTACATATTACATGTATAATATGTAATACACTTAACATTACATACATTATACATATATACATATACATATGTTATGTATTATATATTATACATATTATATACATATACACGTATATTATGTATATGTATATATGTATATTATGTACGTGTATGTAATACACGTACATAGTATATATAAATATAAAGCTAAAATACAGTTAATAGAACTTAAATTTATGTCCCAATTTGAAAAAGAAAAAGATGAAGAGTGTATTCTTCTAATAGGAACAAATTTTTGTTTTGGTCTTGGAGAAATATTTTACTTACTTAATTAAGTAATAAATATATTTTTTGAGACAGAGTCTCTCTCTGTCACCCAGGCTGGAGTGCAGTGGTGCAATCTCGGCTCACTGCAGTGTAAACCTCCTGTGCTCAGGTGATTCTCCCACTTCAGCCTCCCGAGTAGCTGGAACTACAGACACGTGCCACCAGACTTGGCTATTTTTGTGTGTGTGTCTTTTTAGTAGAGATGAGGTTTCAGCATGTTGGCCAGGCTGGTCTCAAACTCCTGGACTCAAGCAATCCACCCACATGGGCCTCCCAGAGTGCTGGGAGTGAGCCACCGCACCGCACCTGGCCTTATTTTATATTGAGAATGCTCTCTAGTCTTCTGGTTATGTTATACTGCCTGACCTAATTTTCAAGACTGTAGTATTACCTATAATCTTTATGAGATTTATTGTTTTACCTGTCTTCAGCTTCTATTTTAGAGATGGAATGGATCCTTAAAGATCATGTAGTATCCTAGTCTGCCTCTATTATTTGACAAATGATGGAACCAAGGCCCAGAGAAAGAACTGACCTTTAATGAGCAGCTATTTTATGTCAGGTAATGTGCTAGGTACCATACCTATGTTAGTTCTTTATCTCAGAGAGGTTATAACATTAGTAAGTGGCAGAGAGACAGTCTATAGTTAAGTCTGATTGACTCTTAAGTTCTCCTTCCACTATACTACATCAGAATTCTGGCAGATCCATGGCTCCCCAATCTCCTGGTTTGAAGTCCATAGGCCCTTCCCTTTTAGCACTAACCTATTACATTTCTCCTCTGCTCTATAAAACACGAAGTTCAATTATATTTTCCCAACACTCTTTGCACCTTCCTAGATGCATTCTCTTCTATTTAAGCTCAGGCAGATAATCTTGTATATGATTATTTTTATTAGATTTTCATAAAGTTGGCAAGCACTACATTCATTCTGGAAGCTGCTATTATTAGCAGATATTTGCCATGGAGCATAATTTCCTATGAACACATCAGTTGGGAAATGCAAATAGCATACACAAGGAAGTCTTTCTTCCTTCACCTACTCCCATTTCTAATATATGAACCCAGGACAAACTTTGAAGATAGTAGCTATTCAAAAAGTTTTAACTGAACTTTCTGCAGATATTGTGTTGCAAGCCCTAGCTCTGTTTTCCATTCTGCCTTTGCAATCTTTAAAATATAATATGATTCTAATGTCCTGCAGTTTGGTAAGTCACAGGATGAGTTTGATGGAGGAGGGAATATATATGCATCACCAAATCTAAGTGTAAAGTAATTTTGACATCAATTTATAATGAAAAGGAGCATTTTGATACATTAAATATAGCTATGAATTTCTACCTAGCCTGATTAGACTTTTTGGTAATCACCAGAAATATATATCAAATATGGATCATCAGATATCTATAGAAGGGAAGGAAAGTTATCAATTCAAACAATATGAATTTTCAATTTAGTCAGAATTACTAACTTTTGCTTATATAACATAAATTGGAAATATATTTTGTTTCTGGATTGTGCTTCCTAATTTAACTATTTAATTCATATGTAACAATTGCAACATTAATTTTTAATATTGTCAAAGATATACAATGCCATACTATAAATACATTTTGTTCCAAAGAGGCAAAGTTCATCATTTATTTAGGAAGCTGCATTAACTCCTTACGTCCACTTAGGGAACACACATCAAATGCCTCTGCTACATTAAGTTCTAGAAATTAGAATTTATAAAAAGGAGAAAAAGAGGGAAGGATTAATTCAAGGAAAATTCCGTGAGTGTTTGCTAGGTGCCAGGCATAGTGCTAGGCACACTGAAAAGCAAGGTGTGGTGGGACATGACTGGGCTTTAAAGACAGACCTTTTTTTTCCAAATCTGGATTTGCAGGTTTTAGCTGCATGGTCTTTATCCTCTTTGAACCTCAGGATCTTCATCTTTCTAGTGATATCAAGATGTCTAATCAACAGGATCATGAGGAGTAAATGAGATAGTATAAAAAAATGTACATAGCACAGCATAAAGGAGTCAATAAGTATAAGACTTCTTCTACATAGATGAACTCATCTAATCTTCTTATAATATTACGAGCTAGATATCATTGGTATCATACTCATTTTAAAGATTGAGCTCTCAGAGAGCTCAATAATTTGCCCCAGCCGAATTTAGCCAATTTCTTGTTCATTCTCCTGTACCAAAGCTATCTCAGATCAACAGTCTAGGTGATTCTACTTTATTAACTGCTTAATTAGAGCTCACTTGCATGGTAGGAATGTTGCTTCCTAAACCCTGCCATGTGTGTTCTTTATGGGAGCCTGAGTAGAAATATTGAGTATAGCTCTGGGCAGTAATGTAACTTTAAAGCCTTTCCAGTTGTAGGTGAATGTACTTTTAAATATAGCTGATATAAAGTTTTGTCTTCTAATGATAGTGAAAATTACTGACAATATTGACTAAGTGGTAGAATCATAAAATGTCAGATGAAGATAAGAGTCAGAATGTGTGCATGACTTGCCCACGGTTATTCAGTTAGATTTTAATAGAATCAGGTGATGAGTTTTAATCTCCTGACTTTCAGTTCAGGATTCTTACCACTGCATGCACATTCTATTTACTATGTGACAACACTGTAACAACTGTATGAAATGGCATTAAATACTATTAAAATTAAGAAAAAGTGAAGCTAACCAAAATAATACCATTCTAGGAGCCAGACCATTGTTGAGGTTTAGCTTTCCTATCTAATATATCTACTGTGACCTTGGAAAATCAATCATCTTCTCTGTCTGAGACTCAATTTCTTCTTGTGTTAAATGGGGATGATGGATTGTTCAGAACCTCAATGAGATGACTTTTCAAAAAGCATTTGTAAAATGAGAACTTTTCATAATTGTTACCAATACCACGTTTATTAGGGTTCTCTAGAGGGACAGAACCAATAGTATAGATGTATATATTACGGGGAGTTTAATAAGGAGTATTGACTCACACTATCACAAGATGAAGTCCCACAATAGGCTGACTGCAAGCTGAGGAGCAAGGAAGCGAGTTCGAGTCCCCAAACCTCAACAGTAGGGAAGTCGACAGTGCAACCTTCAGTCTGTGGTCGAAGGTCCAAGAGTCCAAAAGCTGAAGAACTTGAAGTCCGATGTTTGAGGGCAGGAAGCATCCAGCATGGGAGAGAGATGTAGGCTGGAAGACTCAGCCAGTGTATTCTTTCCAGTTTCTTCTGCCTGCTTTTATTCTAGCCGTGCTGGCAGCTGATTAGATTGTGTCCACCGATTGAGGGTGGGTCTGCCTTTCCCAGTCCACTGACTCAAATGTTAATCTCCTTTGCCAACACCCTCACAGACACATGCAGGAACAATACTTTGCAAACTTCAATCCAATCAAGTTGACACTCAATGTTAACCATTGTAAGTCCACCCCTTTTCAACTTGAACCCATATACATCTCCTGAAATTATATATATATATACATATAAAATCTTCAAATAATTACACCTAACATAATAGAGCTATCCTTTGTATAACTGGAAACACACCAATCCCCAACCTAAATGTTATTACATAAAGTTAACGATAGTTAAATGCTGATATGAAATCAATGACTCTTATGTCACATGATAAAGAAAAAAGAAAGGAAATAAAATGAAGACATTTTCTTAGTACAAGTGTATACATGCACAAACATGTTCTTAACAAAATAAGGAAGAAACACTCATGACAATTATAGTCCTTGTTTCTGCAACTGGCCACATGGCCATAGCTGGTATTGATAACTACCTTCTTCTACTGCCCATTCTGTATTCCCTTTGCCTTCAGCAAGCACCTCAGCAGGTCGTGGTTTTTACCTGGTGGAGTGGCCCAGACCTTTATTCCTGAAGAGTCTGGACCATTTGTAGTCCTGCCTGGATTGGGCTGTTGTAGTTTCCAATTGACCTTAATCACAGGGCATGGTAATACCAAGAGATGCCCTAAGGGGTCTCCTTTATTCCATGCATACTATTCCCTACCTCCATTGTGGAGTAGTAGACTGGTTTCATCTCGGTAGTCGGGGTCAGTTACCCCAGCAAACACTGTAACTCCCTTCTTAGCCTGTTGACTTAGAGGTAGGAGGAGCCCAGAGTGGCCAGGTAGCAATCTTAACTTCCAGTTTAATGGAATTGTTGTTGTGTCTCGTGGTGGCAGCATTCCTCCCTCTGGAATTAAGACCTCTAGGCCAGCAGAACGTAATGTCATGGGAACAGGAAGCAAAAATTCTTCTAGTAGGTTACTAGGGGTGATGGTGAGTGGTGCCACTTCCACTTCCACCACTTGATTCCTGGACCTGTGAATCCTGGCTATGAGAGGAAGCAGTACCATATATTGGACAGTGATTCAGAGGATACACAGCCTTCTGGAGAACTTTGCCCCATCCCTGTAAGGCCATTCACAATTCTATCAATCCAGCTGCTTCAGGATGATGGGGAACACTGTGGAACTAAACAAGCCTTTCAACCTGCTGTACAATTAGGTTTGCTCCCTCATAAAACACTGAAATGATGGGCCTTTGATTACAGACATCTCAAGATTTTATGCAAGTATCCAAAATGTCCAACTTATGATTATATGGGGGTGACTGTAAGACTCCTGTGTTTCTGAAATGCAACTTCTAATTCATGAACTACATTTATACCAAGTATGTCTTAGAATAGCTCATAAGCACATGAAATCAAATTCCATAAAACCATGGGTTTTGTATGGCACTTAATTAAGGAAACTGAGACAGCTTTCAGTGGCAAGTAAGGCGATTTCAGAAATGGTAACTGTAGTGATTCTCCTCAAAATTAGAAAGAGATGGAGAAAACTGTTCCTGTGTGTCTACTCTGTGTCAGGCACACCGGGGCCTCAGGAAGTGAATGAGCTTCAGAATCAGGGAACATGGTTTGTAACACTGACTTTTTAGCTGCTGGGCCTTGCATAAAACTGTTTAAGATTTCTGAGCCTTAGGATCTTTAACTATAAAAATGGCAAAAATAATGTCAAACTCCCAGGTTTGTTGTGTAAATTAAATTAGATAACCTATGAAATGTGACTGGGATATAACAGGCACTTGATGAGCATTATGCCCCTTCTTCACCAGTTACCTCAACTAACCTGCCCAACTACCTGGTAGGCAAGTAATGTTGGCACATCACAAACAAAACTAGGAGACTGAGTTTCAGAGTTTCAGCAATTTGCTCAAGCTCAGGTAATTGGTAAGTGGCCTGATTGGAATTTTACCAAGATTGGCCTAACTCTCACTTCCCAGTCCTTTCCTGTCAGCCTTTCTGACTCTGGAATAAGACCTCAAATGCCACCGTTCAGTGGTAGTTTATCAACTCATAAGATTTATGTCTTTTTCACATTCTTTCTCCATAGGCATAGGGAGATATTATGTAAGTATTACTCTCTTTTCTGAATTACCAATAAATTACTTTAAGGGGGATGTTTATAATAAAATGATAAGAATATGACTTATTATGTGATTTTAATATTAGACATTTTACTCTATTATCACTCTATGATCTTTGAAATTATAAACACTTCATTCCATGAATGTGGATGGATATCTTACAAAGATAACTAATTAAAATAGGTATCCCAAGATAAAACGTAAAGACAAAATTTAATTTAATTTTTATTTGACTGGTTTCAGAATACATACTACTTAGGCTCGCCAGGCATACATTCATGAAAATAAATACCTAAAATACAAGACAGTATGGGAATAATTCCTATTTTTGAGTTTGAAGAAGCCATTAAGGGCTAGAGTAAATTGGGAAAGATTCGTGGAAGAGATTGAACATGATTTGGTCCCTAATGCAGGATTTGGAAAAATGGAGAGAAAGAAAAAGTCCCAGTTGGTAGGAATTAAATAAGCTAAAACATATGTCATATTTTTGGAGCAATGTTTTCAGCTACTGTTGAGACACATTTAAGAAGATGTTAGGGCCATGTTATTGACAATTTTGTGGAGGCAATAAAAAACAAATGAAAGAAATTTTTATATTTATTTTTGGAATAGTGTTTCTCATGTGTCCTGCTCAAATGGGAATGTTACGTCAACCACCTACACTTCCTCAATTCCCAATTGCTCTTCAAAACATCTTAATCTAGTCTCTATCCCCTCCATTCACTACTCATATGTCTCATGTAGTTAGCAGTGGCCTCCTATTTGCCAAACTCAATGGACATGTTTTATTTCCATCTTTCTGCTCTATTTGACATTTTTCCTCATTCATTCACTCCTTTTGAAGTTCTATTTTCTTAGCTTGCATGATGATATTCCCTTCTGATTTTTTTTGGCCTTCTGGTAATTCCATTTCTTTTTCTGTGTGGTAATTTCATCTGTCCACTGCATAAGTGTTAATTTTCTTAGAGTTATATCCTCAGCCTGTTCTCATCATTTTATACTCTCTCTGTTGTTTTATATATAACCTATATCCTGATGAGTTCTGATCTCCATATACAGTCCTGGTCTCTCACCTGAGATTTTGACTGATACATCAAGTTCTCCTATAAACATCTCCCCTTCACTGGTCCATGGAACTTCAAGCTCTACTCGCTCTAAATTGGATTGATTCCCTTCAACTTCCTTTTCCCAAATCTGGTTTCTTACCTACTTCAACTGATAGAGTCACCATTCATTCAAGTCACTCAAGTTAAAAATCTCAGTAACATCCTATGCTTCCTTCTCTCCCCCTCCCCTTCATTCCAATTGTTCAACAACATTTTTTTTTCTGACTTTACATTTAAAATATTTTTAAAATAATGAAAATGATAGCAGATAATATTTTTCAAAATGTACTACATGCAAGGTATGGTGCCAAGAATTTAAAAAGTATTAACTCATTTAATTTTCATACTACAGGTACTATTTTTCCCATTTCACTTATGGGGAAAATGGAGCTCAGGAAGGTTCATTGTCTTGCTATATGTCACACAAATACTATTTGGTAAAGCTGTTATTTAAATACAAATGTTTACATTCCAAATTCTGTATTCTTAAACACAAGAGTAGCATTTATTGCTTCTATCTCTACTCCTGTATCCTATTTTAAGTTCTTTTCGTGTTTTATGTGGACAACTGAGATAGCTGCTTAGCTGGCATTCATCATATCTCTAATCTTGTTTCACTCAAGTCAGCTTCCACATAGCCAATGAAGATTCTATTTCACTTGCAAATCTCATCATCCCACTCCTCTGCTTAAAATCCTTCATTGGATCCTCATAAGTTTCAGTATAAATACCCGTTTTTTAGTATACTAAACAAAACTCTCCATGGTGTGGTCTTGTGCTTAATTTTCAGCTTGAGGTCTCATTCATCCCTGGGTCATAGTTTACGCTTCAGAGATATCATATCGCTTGCAGTTTCCTACTATACAGCATGCTGGTTTTAGTTTCTACAAATTCATTCATATTTTTTTATAGTGGAGACTTGCTCTTTGCCATTCTATTTACATAACATGATTAAATTCCACAGAGTCATTGTGACTCAGCTCAGGTTCCTCTATGTGCGTGTGTGTGTGTGTGTGTGTGTGTGTGTGTGTGCGTGTATAAAATATTTGAGTAGAAAAAAATGTGATAACAAATATTTTGAGATGATTAATTAAAAATTATAATGAAAAATGGAAGGCAAGTTTTAAAGTAGGAAAATCAGCTAGGAGAACCAGAACATTGAATTAAGAACAAAATAAGGGATAAGGGCCAGGACTAGGGTAGTAGAGGTGGGAAATGAAAATAGGGACTAACGAATGAGATGGTGGAGGGGATCAAGTAGAGTATATTTTCTACAACGACTCCAAAATTGAAGGCAGTTGACTAGAAATTAGCAATTGGGGTTTGAACTAAGATAATCAGGAGTGTAAGTTTTGTAAAGAAGTAGGAGTTGAGGAGATGGAGAACAAATGTGTAGATGTTTTACATGTAAAGATGGTAAAACTCTAATTCCTTTTAACTGTGGGACTAAAGGGTGAGAAGATGGGTGTGGGGATTAAATACTTTGAAATGTAGGAAATAGTATATGATAAAGCTATTATATTATGTTAGTGCAAAGGTAATTGTGGTTTTTGCGATTAAAAGTAATGGCAAAATTACTTTTAAAAATTACTTTTGCACCAACCTAATATCATAAGTAAATGGATATTTAGCACAGTTTAACATATGATGGGGAATAGTCTGAAGTTAAAGGCAGCAGTACGACTACATATTTACATTTCATCATCACTATATAGTTTAGTGGAAGCATCCAACTATGATTGACTGATTAATAAGCCAAGAGTTTCTTCAGCTATAATTCAATTTGGATATTATATTTCTCAAAAATAACTTGTACTTGTTATTTAATTGTTGGTAATTGATCCTTTTCTGACTATAAAATAGTATAAATTAATTGTAGAACGTTTGAAAAATACAGATGAATAAAGATATAATAGAGAAGAAAAATAGAAATTACCTATAATCCTACCAACTCAATGATAATAAGTGTTACTTCAGTGCATATTCTTTCAATCTTTTTTCTGTGTGCTCATTTTTTATTTTATTAAATACTCTTCTCAAATAGGATGTTTGATAGCTACATAATATTGCATCACATAGACATTCTATAATACATTTAGATATCCAATATTAATGAATGGTTTTATTTTTATGCTATTATAAACAAACTATAATGAACCTTCTTGAACATAAATCCCTTTGTGCACCGATCCAACAGCCAACAGCGTAATTCACAAAGAAACACTGGAGGCAATTCCATTAAAATCTATAATAAGCTAAGGACAATTTGTTTAAAATTGTTTTAGACATTTCATTTACAACAATAGTACAGGGGAAAAGAATAAATATTAAAAAGAAAAATATAGTGCTATTTATTGTTTATAATGATCTTCCACCAAGAAACTCCAAGAAAAACTTCTGGTAGTATAAAGAGAAACAGCTTTTATTTTTTACTTTTTTGTTTATTATTATTATTATTATTATTATTATTATTATTGTTATTATTATTTTGAGATGGAGTCTCACTCTGTCACCCAGGCTGGAGTGCACTAGTGCAATCTCGGCTCACTGCAGCCTCAACCTCCCAGGCTCAACCTCTTTTACTGCCTCAGCTTCCCAAGTAGCTGGGACTACAGGTGTGCACCACCATGCCCAGCTAATTATTTTAGTTTTTGTAGGGACAAGGTCTCACTATATTCCCTCGGCTGAAAGAATAGCTTTTAAAAGTCAGCTTTCATGATGTGTAGTAAAGTCAGTAATTCTACTTCCAGAAATTTATTGTACAGATAAATAAGAAAAATATTTAAAAGCTACTGAGTTTTAAAAGATATTTTTATACTATCTCATCAGTTATCAATACTCTAACGGATAATCTATCATTATTAAATGCTTTTCTCTTTTTCATATAATAATTGCTTTTTGTATAAAAGTAATTTTATAGAGAAATTCAGTTTACAAAGTTTAGATTTATATATTTTTAGTTATATTTTATGCCTAATTGGAAAGTAATGCCTAATTAATAAACTGTTTTTCAAGACACATGATATTTTCATTTTTCTTTTTGTGGTTTTTTTCCTCTGTGTCAACTCTACACTTTTTTTTACTAAGGTATGAAATGACACATCAACTAATTTTCTCAAGATTTGAAACTTTTGTTTCTAAAAAATAAACTAAATTGTGCCTTTTTCTAAGTGTTTAACTGTGCCATGGTGCCATTCAGAAGAATAAAAGTCTGCCCAATTTATTGTGACGTTTCCTGCATAATTTCTATGTAGATTAAACAGGTTTATAATTCACTTGTTCTTAGACTTCATGCATATAATTAGTCATTTGTCATTTATATATTTCAAAATCACTGCTTCAGAGAAATAATGTAGAAGCATCATGGAGGTTATGGCTTTCTATGTACATATAAGATCTTTACGTTTGAGGATCATATTTAAAGACTAAAAAATTATAATGTACTTGACTCATATATTCAAAATTGTGATAAAGAAGACCTTTTTAGCTTACAATTTGCTCTAGAAGGTAACATCAACTTACTACAGATATGTAGAGGTAACTTTTAACCTCATGTTAATCAAATTCAACATATTGAAATATTTGTTTCCTATGCTGCATATGGGCAGTGAAACAAATAAGCAATTATACACTGAGGATTCTTTAGCATCTTCCCATTTTGTTTTAATTTAGAGTACAGAAGACTTCACCTTCTGTCACTATTAGAATAAGAGAAACAAGCTGAATCAACAGTGGCCCAATATATTAACCACTTTGATAAAAGTGACCTTGTATTTGATCAACGTCTAGACCAGAGATTCACAACACTGGCTGTGCATTAAAATTGCATTTGGAGGTCAGAATCTATCCTAAGAAATTATAATAGAGGTCTGAGTTGAAGCCTAGCTATCTTTGTTGTCAGCCTGACAGGTGATTTATATGAGCAAACAAGAATGATAATCACTGAACATAAACATACATGCATCCATTAATTGACTGCTTATCCACATATTTGAAATACTGCTCATTAATAACCTTATACTCACTAGACTGAGCATTTGAAAGGCAAACACAACGCCTTTATTAACTTCGTAACCCTAGTAACCAGCTTGGTTTCAGCACATAGGCACTCAGGAAAATTAATTACTTAATTAATTAATTATGGTCGTATGAACTCTTTAAATTAACAAAGAATCATGGCATTTGTTAGATTCATAGGTAGTGACAAACAAAATGTTTGTGAAATTCCTTTTTAAATATCAAACACAAAACCACTTTGGAACAAATTTTTATTACTCTTTTACTCTTTTTTTCAAAGAAGGATAAATCACTTGAGGAAAACAAAAAATAATTTTTGCTAGAAAGATATTTTCACCAGTAATGTGCTAATGCACACACTGTGGCCAAGGAATAAATTTTAGGTAACTGCCAACTTCATGCCATACAGACAATATATAGTTTGTAATGCTATTTTTAAAATAAGATGACATGACTAGTGAAAGTATAAAAATTATGTGTACTACCACACTATTTACACTAGTACACTATTATAATTCTAAGACATAAGCAGTTATTACAATGATTTTAGTGTTTTTGTACATAGTTGATCTTCAGATAGAGATAAGGTGAATATGGTATTTATTTTTTATTTGCTGAGTGGATTCTAAATTTCTGTTACTTCCCCAAAGAGCAACCATTGGCACACATGCATGTACATGATACACACCACCCTCAACACACACACACACACACACACACACACACACACACACACACAGAGAGAGAGAGAGAGAGAGAGAGAGAGAGGCTGACATAAATTTATTTTAATAGACAAATATAAATATTTAAATTGCCATGGTCTTAAATACTACCAATGGTTTTCAATTTATATTTAAAAAATCAATTTTAATATATTGCCAATGTCAAGGACAGCCATATATACTTTAGTTATTTCTTTAACAGTTTTTCAAACAATCACAGTTATGTAATTCCTTGTTTTAAATTTTATTTTAAGGTCAGGGGTACAAGTTCAAGTTTGTTAGATAGGTAAACTTGTGTCATGGGGGTTTGTTGTACAGGTTATTTCATCACCCAGGTATTAAGCCTAGTAGCCATTAGTTGTTTTTTCTGGTCCTCTCCCTCTTCCCACCCTCCACCCTCTGAAAGGCCCCATTGTGTGTTGTTCCCCTTTATGTGTTCATGTGCTCTCATCATTTAGCTCCCTCTTATTAGTGAGAACATGCAGTGTATGGTTTTCTATTCCTGTGTTAGTTTGCTAAGAATAATGGCCTCCAGCTCCATCCATGTCCCTGCAAAGAACATGATCTTGTTCTTTTTTATGCCTGCATAGTGTTCCATGGTATACATGTACCACATTTTCTTTATCCAGTCTATCACTGATGGGCATTTAGGTTGATTCCATGTTTTGCTATTGGAAGATACCCTAAGCAATACCATTCAGGACATAGGCATGGGCAAAGATTTCATTATGAAAATGAGAAAAGCAATTGCTACAGAAGCAAAAATCAACAAATGGGATCTAGTTAAACAAAAGAGCTTCTGCACAGCAAAACAATCAAGTAAACAGAAAACCAACAGAATGGAAGGAAATTTTGCAAACCATGCATCCAATAAATGTCTAATATCCAGCCTCTATAAGAAACTATAAGCCTCTATAAGGAACTTATTACCAAGGGCAAAACAAACAACGCCATAAAAAAAGTGGGCAAATGAAATGAACAGACACTTCTCAAAAGAAGACTTACATGTGGCCAACAATCATTTGAAAAATATCTCAACATCACTGATCACTGAAAAAATGCAAATCAAAACCACAATGAGATAGCAACTCACGCCAGTCAGAATGGCTATTATTAAAAAGTCAAGGCCAGGTGTGGTGGCTCACGCCTGTAATCCCAGCACTCTGGGAGGCCGAGGCAGGTGGATCAACTGAGGTCAGGAGTTTGAGACCAGACTGGCCAACATTGTGAAACCCTGTCTCGATTAAAAATACACAGATTAGCTGGGCATGGTGGGACTGTGCCAGTAATCCCAGGTACTTGGGAGGCTGAGGCAGGAGCATTGCTTGAACCCGGGAGGCAGAGGTTGCAGTGAACCAAGATCGTGCCATTGAACTCCAGCCTGGGTGACAGAGTGAGACTCTGTCTCAAAAAAAAAAAAAAATGTCAAAAAATAACAGATGCTGATGAGGTCGTGAAGAAAAAGGAATTCTTATATACTATTCATGGGAGTATAAATTAGTTCAGTCACTGTGGAAGACAGTGTGGAAATTCCTCAAAGACCCAAAGACAGAAATACCATTCAACCCAGCAATCCCATTACTGGGCATATACCCAAAGGAATATAAATTATTCTATTATAAAAACACAGTTATGTAATTCTAAAACAAATTGTACAAAACATGCAAGATAAAATAGAAAACAGCACATTATTAAAGCTATTTTATTGTTATAAGAGTTATTTTTACACAGTCCTCTTCAAAACAAGCTATTTGAAATGTTTTGCTCCAAAACGTGTATCCATTAAAGTGGAGTCAAAATTTGATTGCTCTCAGCCAACATACTTTATTGGAAAAAGTGTGTTTAAAATGGTATAGTAAAAGAAGAGATAAAAGATAAAAAGGTAAAGGATTGTGAAGAATTCAATGCTGCTATCTGCATGTACTTTGTAAAAATATCACCCTCTCCTTCCTGATCCTCTGTCTCTGTCACATTTCGTGGCTCATATGTTAATATGTCCCACCTCCTGAACACTTCAGTCATGAGAGACCCAGCTTAATGCACCCAATTGAAAATCCATTAAAAACACATATGGCATCTTCTGTGTTGAAAGGATTCTCTTAAAGATCTTACAGTGGTTTGCTGATTTAAAAATGTCTCCCTGTTATAACAAAAGAAGGTGTAGGCATTTATTATGGCTTGCTGACTTCAGGCTAAAAATTTTTTATTTAAATTTAGCCTCTTTTAGATGCCTCCCTAGATTCAAAATCTTATCGGCATTGCCTAATAAGTAGTTGAAACTTTCAGTTCAACAGAGACCTCGGAAATTGATATATCACATCAGTGTTTTATTTTGTCTGTAAACGTGGCATATTAAATTATTGAGTTGTCTGATTTTTTTCTCGGATTTATTGAGGTATAATGCGCAAATCAAAATTATATTCAAGTTGTACAACGTGATATTTTGATATACCTATACATTGTGAAATGATTACCACTATCAAGCTAATTAACATATCCATAACCTCATAGTTACCTTTTTTGTGTGAGATTGAGATCGACTCTCTTAACAAATTTCAAGTACGCAATACAGTATGATTAACTATAGTCATCATGTTGTACGTTAGGTCTCCAGAACTTTAGATTCCCTGTTTTGTGACACCTGCTTTAGGCTTGCTGAGGGTCATTGTCCAGTAGTAGTGAGCATTTTAAGCCAATTTCATTAAGATACGATATTTATGATAAACATTTTTTGTAGCATCAGCCAGTGAAACAAAGTATCTGAACTAATCTGAAAGGATTGCTAATAAGCATCTTAGCCTTTCTATCTCTGGTTTCTCTACAGGTATCACCATGATAAAATTTTTCTTTACCTGAAGCAATTAAAAATAAAAACACTGTGTTTCCCTGGTTGGGCCTTTTTAGTTCCCAGTGAAGGCCACCTACGGTGGATAGAGAAGAAAGATACTTTCCACACAAAATATCTTACTATTTGAACCTGGTAATTCACATATGCGGTGAAATGTTACCACAAGAAAGCTTCAGTTTTCATAGGTAAAAATATTTATCCACATATTTAAGCAAGTTTATAATTCTTCATACAAATATTCACAAAAACAAAAAAAGACCATTTTCTCCAGCTTCAGATACACACCATTTGACTTCAGAAACTAAGTTACATCCTTTTGTTTGTTGATTGGTTTGTTTTTAGGCCATCCAACCCCCTCAAGATAAGTTACATTCTAATGTGGGCATGTTCAAATCTTACAGGATGATCTGCAAGTATAGAAAAACATATAAGAAGAAAAATTTGGAAAGATTTTTATATCAGATCACATTTTCCAACATGATTGTCTAGTTGGTAAAGTTCAGCAGTATCAAATTCCCATCGTTTTCTGTGAAAGTATCTCATCATTATTTAAAATGTCACATTTTACCTTATTCACTAAACTATAAATATAATTGGTTCCATTAATAATACATGGCAGATAAGCTAGCTTTTTTATATTATTCATCATTATGAGATAAAATTCATAAGACCCTATGAAAATAGTTCAATATATACCTCATATGACTGTTAATAATTTCCAACTTATTTTAGAAAACCTAAAAGCGGAACCAAAACTAACACAATTTGGAAGAATTTGAAACTATACTTTCTTTCATAAATTTTGAATTATCTAAATTATCTGAATTTCAAACATAAAATTTTATGTTTACAACTTCTAGAGATATTTATTTGGAATTAAAATTACAAAATGCCAAAGGATTGGATAATATTTATCCAGTCCGATAAATGTTAGGTCCTTTTTTATTGCTGCTACATATGTCTAGCCACTTAAATAATTGTATTCAATTAAATCCACTTTTCATGTCCAGGGATAGTTCTATTCCCCTGTTATTTCCATCAAGAAATAAATATCCTATCATTTTATTTTTATTTTTTATTTTTATGGGTATATAGTAAGTGTGTATAATTATAGGCTACATGAGATATTTTGTTAAGGCATGCATTGTGTAACAATCACATCAGGGTAAATGGGGTATGCTCACCTCAAGCATACTTCCTTCGTGTGTGTTACAAACAATCCAATTATACTTTTTTGGTTATTTTAACCTGTATAATTAAATTATTATTGACTATAATCCCTTTGTTATGCTATCAAGTACTACATCTTATTCATTCTTTCTGACTATATTTTTGTGTCCATTAATCATCCCCACTTACCCTCCTCTCCCCAACTTACCACCCTTCCAGCCTCTGGTAACCATTCTTCTATTCTCTAGCTCCATGAGTTCAATTGTTTTCATTTTTAGCTCCCATAAATAAGTGAGAACATGTGAAGTTTGTCTTTCTTTGTCCTTTTTCCTTACTATATCTTTGTCTATTCTGAGTCTCTTGTGGTTCTATATACACTTTACATTTTTTTTCTACTTCTATAAAGAATGTCATTGGTATTTTGACAGAGATTGCACTGAATCTGTAGATTTCTATGGGTGGTATGGACATTTTAATAATATTGATTCTTCAGTCCATGAACATGGAGTATTTTTCCATTTTTTTGGTATTGTCTTTAATCTCTTTCATCAGTGTTTTATAGTTTTTATTATAGAGATCTTTAACTTCTTTAAATTAATTCATTGATATTTAATTTTATGTGTGACTATTGTAAATGGGATTACTTTTTTATTTCTTTTTCTCATTGTTCACCATTGGCATATAGAAATGCTACTGATTTTTGTATGTTGATTTTGTATCCTCAGCTTTGCTAAATTTATCAGTTCAAATGGTTTTTTTGCTGGACTCCTTAGTTTTTTCCAAAGATAATATCATACCATCTGCAAACAGGGATAATTTGACTTCTTCCTTTCCATCATGGATGCCTTTCATATCTTTCTCTTGTCTAGTGTGTCTAAGTAGAACTTCCAGTACTATATTGAATAATAATGGTGAAATTGGCCATTCTTGTCCTATTTCTGATCTTAGAGGAAAGGCTTTCAGATTTTTCCCTATTTAGTATGATGAGTCTGTCATATACAATTTTTATTATGTTGAGGTATATTTTTTCTATTCCTAGTTTATTGAAAGTTTTTATCATGAAGTGATGTTGCATTTTATCAAATGTTTATTCAGCATCAACCAAAATGATTATATGGTTTCTGATCTTCATTCTGTTGATATGATATATCACCTTAATGATTTATGTATGCTGAACCATCCTTGTATTCCAGGGATAAATCCCACTTGGTCATGATGATCGATCTTTTTAATGTGGTTTGAGAAAATCGAAGTGGGGGGGAAATGGCAGATAGGAGACAGGGATAATGTATAGCTCCCACATGGACAGACAGAAGAGTGTGTGGGGACTCACACTGTGATCTTTTGCTTCAAGAACCCCCACAGGAACATACCAGGAAAACTGAAAGAATTCACAGATCCTTTGAAGGAAGCAGCACACTGCTGCAAATTCCACAAAACAGGCGAAAAACTGTATGTTCCCAAAGTGTGAGAGGGCGAAAGGAAAACCTACCTTCGATCACACATCCTGACTGGGGAATCTGAAAATCCAGATCACAAGAGGATTTAACCTTACCTAGAAATGAAATGGATTTAGGAAGTCACATGAGGTATAAAAGTAGAAGTAGCAGTGGGAAGTGCCTTGCATGCACTCCCAGCCTCCACCTCTAACCTAGAAAGGCCATCCCTGACTATATCTCACAGGGGCCCTCAGGAAAGGTGGCCAGAGGAATTGGGGAGGGATTATGGGGTGAAGGAGGCTCCCAAATGAAATTGGTAGTGGTTTTGGCTGGGCACACATTTTATTGAGTCCAGTCTGGGGGATGGGAGGGAGCTGCTGCACATACAAGCAAGTGCGGGAGTACAGGAGCTGCTGCTGATGGAGTGGGCAGACAGGGAAAGGCAAGGTCCTAAAGCCATGCTTGCTTTCCCAGTGGAGTAGCTCATGGCTTGTGGCAAGGTCAGAGCAGGGGCACTGCATGAATGAGAGACTGGCCTCGCCAACTGCATGAGAGCTGGGTACGGCTTCTTGCTACTGGCTATCTCCCACTTCCCTGGTGAGCTATACTGCACAGCAGAGGTGGCCAGGATTGCCTATGGAACATAACCCCATTGGCCTGAGAACCACCTCACCCCATGCTCCACAGTGGTCATGGCAAGCCCTCCCCAAGGAGAGTCTGCACCCAGACCCACCAAACCCTGCCCCCACATGACAGTATTTCGTAACTACCCTGATAGCTGAACACAAAACACAGAAACTCATGGGAGCTTTATGGCCCCACCCAACACCTGAGAAACCAAAATACTTACCAGGACCATCTTAGAGTAAGCTTAGAGCCCTTTACTACTATCACAGCTGGTGCTATCTTGAAAGTGCCACCTCTTAGCTGGAGGCCAACCAACTCAGGCCATTACAGCAACTCAGGACAGAATAACCCTGATCCCAGGAAGGAGAAGACAACACCTAATTTCACTGCCTGCAACATCCTGGCTAACCAGAGGTCCTGAGTGTGTCCATGTGACAACTTCATCACTAGCATAACCAGCATTCAAGAAAGCCAGCATACTAAACATATTAACAACAAAGAGCTCTCGCAGAGTCTACTTTGCTTCTCTGCCACCTCTACCAGAGCAGGTGCTGGTATCCACAACTGGGAGACCTGAAGACAGATCACATCACAGGACATTTTGCAGACATCCTGCAGCATCAGCCCAGAGCCTGGTAGCCCCACTCAGTGGCTAGACTCAGAAGAGCAATAACAATCACTGCAGACCAGCTTTCAGGAAGTCTCATCTCTAGGGGAAGGGGGAGAGCACGACATCAAGGAATCACCCTCTAGGACAAGAAAATAAATCTGAACAGCAGGCCTTAAGTTTCATACCTCTCCACTGAAATAGTCTAACCAAATGAGAAGAAACCAGAAAAGTAATCCTGTTATAGAACACGGTTCTATAACACCCCCAAAAGATCACACCAGATCCCCACGAATGGATCCAAACCAAGAAGAAATCTCTGAATTGCCAGATAAACACTTCAGAAGGTAGATTATTAAGCTACTCAAGGAGATACCACAGAAAGGTGAAAACCAACTTAAAGCAATTAAAAAACAATATAGGGTATAGATGAACAATTCTCAAGAGAAATAGATATCACAAAGAAAATACAATTACAACTTCTGGAAATGAAAGACACACTTAGAGAAATGCAAAATGTAGTGGAAACTTTCAACAGTAGCATAGAACACGTAGAAGAAATAACTTTAGAGTTCAATGAAAAGGCTTTCAAATAAACCCAATCACACAAAGACAAAGAAAATAATTTTTAAATGAACAAAGACTCCAAGAAATTTTTGATTATATTAAATGACCAAACATAAGAATAACTGGTGTTCCTGAGAAGAGAAATCTAAAAATTTGGAAAACTTATTTGAGCGAATAATTGAGGGTAACTTCCCTGGTCTTGCTAGAGGTCTAGACATCCAAATACAAGAAGCTCAAAGAACACCTGGGAAATTCATTGCAAAAAGATCACCACCTAAGCATGTAGTCATCAGGTTATCTAAAATCAAGACAAGGGAAAGAATCTTAAGAGCTGTGAGACAAAAGCATCAGATAACCTATAAAGGAAAACCTATCAAATTAACAGCAGACCTCTCAGCAGAAACCTTACAAGCCAGAGGGGATTGAGGTCCCATCTTTAGCCCCCTGAAACAAAATGAAGGAGAAATGAAGTTGTTTTCAGACAAACAAGTGCTGACTACTAAGCCAGCACTACAAGAAATGCTAAAAGGAGTTCTACATCTTGAAACAAAACCTTAAAATACACCAAAATAGAAACACCTTAAAGCATAAATCTCACAGGGCCCATAAAACATTAATGCAACAGCAAAAATGCAAGGTATTAAAGCAACAACTAACATGATGAGTAAAACAATACCTCACATCTGAATACTAACACTGAAAGTGAATGGCTTAAATGCTCCACTTAAAAGATACAGAATGGCAGAATGGATAAAAATCCACCAACCAAGTTGCTGCTGTCTTCAAGAGACTCACTAACACATAAGGACTCACATAAACTTAAGGTAATGGGGTGGAAAAAAACATTCCATGCAAATGGAAACCAAAAGCAACTAGGAGTAGCTATTCCTATATCAGACAAAGCAGAATTTAAAGCAACAACATGAAGAAAAAACAAAAAGGGACATCATATAATGATAAAAGAAATAGACCAACAGGAAAATACCACAATCGTATATACGCACCTAACGCTGGAATTTTCAAATTTATAAAACAATTACTACTAGACCTAAGAAATGAGATAATGAGATAGATGGCTACATAATAATAGTGCAGGACTTCAATACTCCACTGCCGGCACTAGACAGGTCATCAAGGCAAAAAATCAAAAAATAAACAGTGAAATTAAACCATAGTCTAGAACAAATGGACTTGATGGATATTTGCAGAACATTTCCCCAACCACTGCAGACTATACATTTTTTTTCAGCACATGGAATATCCTCCAGAGTAGAACATGTGATAGGTCACAAAACAAGTCTTAATAAATTTAAGAAAAAAATTATATCAAGTATCCTCTCAGACCACAGTGGAATAAAACTGGAAATCAACTCCTAAAGGAATCCTCAAAACTATACAAATACATGAAAACTAAATAATCTGCTCTTGAATTATCTTTGGGTCAACAATGAAATTTAAAAATTCTTTGAGCTGAATGATAATAGTAACAAAACTTAACAAAACCTCTGGGATACAAAAAAAGCAGTACTCAGAGGAAAGTTCATAGCATTAAATGCTTACATCAAAAAGTCTGAAAGAGCACAAATAGACGATCTAAGGTTGCACCTCAAGGAACTAGAGAAACAAGAACAAACCAAATCCAAAACCAGCAGAAGGAAAGAAATAACGAAGACCAGAGCTGAACTATATGAAATTGAAACAAAAATATAATAGATAAATGAAACAAAGAGCTGGTTCTTTGAAAAGATAAACAAATGGATAGACCGTTAGTGAGATTAACCAAGAAAAGAATAGAGAAGATCCAAATAAGCTCAATTAGAAATGAACCAGGAGATATTACAGCCAATACACAGAAATACAAAACATCATTCAAGGTTACTATGAACGCATTTTTGTACAAAAACTAGGAAATCTAGAGGAGATGGATACATTCCTGAAAACATGCAACCCTCCCACGTTAAATTGGGAAGAAATAGAAACTCTGGACAGACCAACAACAAGTAGCAAGATTGAAACAATAATAAAAAATTGCCAACAAAAAGAAGTCCAGGACCAGATTCACAGCTGAATCCTATCGGACATTCAAAAAAGAATTGGTACAAATTTTACTGAAACTATACTCAAAGACAGAGAAAGAGGGATTTCTCCCTAAATCATTCTATGAAGTGTCACCCTAATACCAATATCAAGAAAGGACGTAACAAAAAAAGAAAACTACAGACCAATATCCCTGATGAACATAGATGCAAAAATCCTCAACAAAATAATAGCTAACTGATTCCAACAGCATATCAAAAAGATAATCCACCATGATCACGTGGGTTTTATACCAATGATGCAGGGATGGTTTAACATACACAAGTCAATAAATGTGATACATCACATAAACAGAATTAAAAACAAAAATCACACGATTTTCTCAATAGATGCAGAAAAATATTTGACAAAATCCAGCATCCGCTTATGATTAAAATCCTCAGCAAAATTGGCATACAAAGGACATACCTCAAGGTAATAAAAGCTATCTGTGACAAACACATAGCCAGCATTATGCTAAATGGGGAAGGTTGGAAAGAATTCCCCCTGAGAACTGGAACAAGACAAGGATGTCCAGTTTTACCACTTCTCTTCAAAATAGGACTGGGAGTCCTACCAGATCAATCAGACAAGATAAAGGAATCAAGGTGCATCTATATTGATTAAAAGGAAATCAAACTGTCGCTGTTCACTGATGATATTATTGTATACCTAGAAAACCCTAAAGATTTATCCAAAACACTCCTAGATTTTATAAACGAATTCAGTAAAGTTTCAGGATACAAAATCATTGTACACAAATCAGTAGCATTGCTATACTCTAACAACAGCCAAGCTAAGAAACAAATCAAGAACTCAATCTTTTTTACAGCAGCTGCAAAAAAAAAAAAAAAAAAAAAAAAAAATTCCTTAGGAATATAATTAACCAAGGAGGTCAAAGATCTTCACAAGGAAAACTACAAAACACTGCTGAAAGAAATCATCGACAACACAAATAGAAACACATCCCATGCTCGTGGATGGGTAGAATCAATATTGTGAAAATCACCATACTACCAAAAGCAATCTACAGATTCAATGCCATTCCCATCAAAGTGCCATAATCATTCTTCACAGAACCAGAAAAAAACTATCCTAAAATTCATATGGAATTAAAAAAAACACCCTGCATAGCCAAAGCAAGACTAAGCAAAAATAACCAAACTTGGAGGCATCACATTACTAGACTTCAAGCTATACTACAAGGCTATAGTTACCAAAACAGCACAGTACTGGTATGAAAACAGGCATGTAGACCAACAGAACAGAACATGTATCAGGTAGGATGTGATTATTGAAGAGAGACACATCATTTTGTATTTGTGGACCTTGTGGGTCTCAGTTTCTTTATCTAAAAAAATGAATGTGTATTAGTTTTGGAAGTTGCGTAATAAATTACCACTAACTTAGAAGCCTAAAACTACTAATTTATTATCTCACAGTTCTGTAAGTCAGAAGTTTAGGCAGGCTTGGCTGGGTTCATTGCCTAGAGTCTCGCATTATTATTTATTATTATTTTTTAATCTCCTAGGCTAAGCTTCCTTTTTGGGAAGAAAAGTAGTTTATTTTTGCTGGAATTTCTCTCTGTGTTGTTTTCATCTTGAGGAGATCAAGTATAAAAGTGTTGCGCATTTACTGAGTAATATTACAAGCAGAATGCCACATATTATTAATTGAAATTCTGATTCAAATGTTTATATTAAGTAGAATTTTTCCAACACAGTGTATATGTGCTAAACCTCTAGGAAGAATATGTTTATTTTGCACCTAAACATTGGATAATATGAGGAGAAGCACATCTTGATAATGATACATAACAATAAGTTAGGTGTAGACTAAGATGTTGTTGATTGAGAGACAGTGTACTTGATCTAAAATCTGTTTCAGGAACATTGCTATGAGGATATTTACTGCAAAAAAAAATGTGTTTTTTTCACATTTTGTACTAATGGTGGAATTTTTACTTTTAATAAAGGAAAGTTACAAATTATTTCAGGGAATTTTTGTTTTATTAAACCTCCTGGTAAATCAAACTGATTTTTATGGGTTTGTGTGTGCAGTTTTTAAAAAATTTTTATGAGCACATGATAAATGCCTACTAAAACAACCACTGGTGTTCTAGCTCTCTCTCTCTCTTTTCAAATATGAAGAATTGTCCACAGAATAGCATTTAGGATGGTGTAGACTTAAGAGGGAAATGCATGTACCATCAGTACTTTTCCTTGGGCAGTCTAGCTAGGATGTCACCCACAGGAGGGGATACAAACCTTGCAGGACATGTTAAAAAATTAAGACTATAAAATTAAGGAATACAAAGGAACACATTACTGTTCAATTCAGTAGGGATCTGTAATTCTGCACTGCTCAGGTGCAGATGAGAACTACTCAGGTCAGAATCAAGTTGTTTCTGTAAGAGACAGCTCTATAAATAATGAGCTGTTTGTTTCTATAAGAGATAGCCCTATAAATAATGAGCTGTTCTCAGGTGAGCCAATCACTACCAATTGCCTGTTTAAAATGTCAGAATTGTCAAGGTCAATTGGTGTTAATCTAATGGCAGCACTGACCTAGTGTCACACAGAGTCTATAAATTAAATTTTAAGTCTCACAAAAGGATTATCTTTGTTTCTAGAGACAATATTTTAATCAACAATGTTTTGGGTACTTCCGTGAAAGTGATGTGGGTTGATTGAAGTTTAAAAGGTGTAGACAATTGTCCATTAAAGCAATTACATTAATGCATCAGGCTGATTTGAAATCAGTATTGAGGTAGAGTCAGAATATTTGCATATTTTTTTCTTTGTCATAACATCCTCACCAAAGCTTTTGGAAATTGCTGTTTTCAATGCACTTTTCACTCCACAGCCAGGACATAAAGAGTGACGGGGAAAAAGAGAACCTTATCAGGAAGAGAAAGAAATAACCATTAGAAAGTTGTTCAAAATATATTATTTCATGAAATTGTCTTTCTTCTGTTACTTGTCTGTTTTCATATCTCCTTGTCACATTCTTAGGTATTTCAATAATAAAAAAATTATCTGGATAAAAAAAGAAAGTAAAAAAAATGAAGTTTAGGTTTGATAAAGATTACTTTTATGAGTTAAAAGAACAAAGTATATTTCCTCTAAAAGAAGTTGATTACCCACTCCTTGTAACTTTTCATAAATTAACGTTCAGATATTTTTCAAATAAATAACTGATGGGAACTCAGCTTGTTGAAAATTTGCTTGGTTACACATTCAACAAACCTGATGGACAGTTTTGATTATTTTTGCCCTTTACAGAGTAAGTGTGAAGTAACACTAATTAAAAGCTTTTCTACTGAATAATCCATGTGCATCACCTTCCAAAATTTCACTTAAGGGGCCTACACATTGACAAAAACACATTTTATTCCCTTTGCTTAATTTCATTAGTGGGACTTTTCTTTGACTTTGTGGGAACATTTAGATTTTTTCTCCAGAGCATGTTAGAGCACAGAACGATTAGCAGAGCATTTGAAGTAACCACAGCTCAGGGATAATGGGAATGAGCCCTATAGCACTGTGCAAGCACTGGGACCATTTATAGATGTTCTGTGCAATGGTGGATAAAATAGGGCCACACTATACTGTTCCAGAAGCATTTTCTCTAGAGCCTTCTATAAGTCCCTTCTATGCTAAATAATTCAAACATGCATTTTGCATTCAGTAAACAATTGAAAACACAAGGAAATGAGGCTTTAAAAAGGAGTTGTGCTCAGTCAGTATATTGCTTTCAACTTTGAAAGAAGGCAAATATATAAAATGATCCTGAATTGCCTACTCAATTTCTAGGAGTAAGAGTCAAGCAGAGAAATCTCATTCTACTCCACCTATCCCCCGCTCACCAAAATCAAGAATTGTGTCTTTATTGTTGTTATAATTTGCTTCATAATGTTTTCTTGACAATTGAGACATTGTATACTGCATTAATTATTTACACTTTGTATGAACATTAAAATAATGAGAACATATATTTGTTTAGAAAAAAATCCCTCTATTTTTTCTCTCATAAATATAATTCTACTGTTATGTTAGTATGTTCATAATTTGAGAAATTCTAAGTCTTAAGAAATCTTGGAATTGTATGAATTCTCTTTTACCTACTCATTAGCAGACTCATAATTTTAGAAATCTTAATTGAGATCCATGTGCCAGTTATACTAATTAGTGTATAATTTCATAATCTGAGTACTTACAGAAAGCACACACTTGAAAAACTCTGTATCTACAAATGCTTTTGACTATATGGATTTCCAGAGTCAAAATATTATTCAAAAAAGTAATAATAACATTTACCACAAAGCTTCCAGTGATGGTTCATCTGTGGGTGAATTTCCCATTTACAACTTTGCTCCCAGAGCACTCAGAAATATTTTACCCCTTTTCATTTTTTTAAACTAGACTTTATTTTTTACAGAAGTTTTAGGTTCACAGCAAAAATGAGAGGAAGTTATAGAGATTTCCCGTATCTTCTCTACCCTACACATGTGTAACCTCCCCCATTGTCAATATCCCCCACCAGAGTGACACATTTGTTATAGTTGATGAATTTACACATCAATATCACCCAAAGTCCATAGTTTACATTGGGGTTCACTCTTGTACATTCTATGGGTTTGGAAAACATTTAAAATAACAAGTATCAACAATTATAGTATCTATAGAGTAGTTTCTCTGCCATAAAAATCCTCCATTCTCTGCTTGTTCATCCCTCCTTCCCCTATTCCACAACCCCTGGCAACCACTGATATTTCTACTGTCTCCATAGTTTTACCTTTTCCAGAATGTCATATAGTTAGAATCATACAGTATGTAGCCATTTCCAATTAACTTATTGTACTTAGTAATACAGATATAAGGATCCTCCATGCCTTTTCATGGCTTGATAGATCATTTTTTTTTTAGCAATGAATAATCATTTCTGAATCTACCACAGTTTATTTATTCATTAACCTACTGAAGGATATCTTGGTTACATTCAAATTTTGGCATTTATGAATAAAGCTGCTATAAATATCTGCTTGCTGGTTTTGTGTAAACATAAGTTTTAAGCTCCTTTGGGTAAATACTAAGGAATGTGATTGCTGAGCCTTATGGTTAATAGTATATTTAGTTTTGTGAAAAACTGCCAAACTGTCTTCCAAAGTGGCTATAGATTCTCTTTCATTGGGAAGATGGCAATACATAATATCTAAGCCATTTTACGACTCAGTGTTTTCTATCATATAGGAATGACCTTTACTTTAGTTAGTATTTGGCATTACATATGCATGTATAAAATGTATAGTTTTTAAAAGAGTGTTTGTTCCTTAATATAGTTAGTAGTTATGAAATGAGTCAAGATCTGTTATTGCTAATGTTGGCAATATATTTTTATTAAATTAGACATTTTGGATGGTTTTAAAATTATAACTCGGTAATAATAGCTAACCTGTATATAGCACTTAACTTTGTGCCAGACACCATTCTACTGGCATATATCATCTCACTTAGGTAATATTTTAAATTCTGTTTCTTTAGATTAGGAAACTGAAGTCTAGAGTAGTTAAATGACCTGTTGAAGATGACACAGTTAGTAAGTGGTAAAGCTGGGGTTTAAACACAGTCTGTCTAGCTCGAGTCCATACTCTACACTTTAAGACTATAGTAGTTGTGTTTAAGAGGCTTTAGATCAGGGATCCCCAACTCCTGGGCCGTGGACTGGTACTGGTCCCTGACCTGTTAGGAACTGGGGCCACACAGCAGGAGGTCAGTGGCGGGCAAAGAAATGAAGCTTCGTCTGTATTTACAACCACTCTCCATGGCTTTCATTACTGCCTGAGCTCCGCCTGCTGTCAGATCAGTGATGGTATTAGATTCTCATAGGAGCATAAACCCTATTGTGAACTGTGCATGCGAGGGATCTAGGTTGTGCGTTCCTTGTAATCTAATGCCTGACTATCTGAAGTGGAACAGTTTCATCCCGAAACCTACCTCTGTCCATGGAAAAATAGTCTTCCACAAAACCAGTCCCTGGTGCCACAAAAGCTGAGGACCCCTGCTTTCAATAACAGAATCTTAGGTCTCTATTATAAATGTCTTTCAGAGGTTAAATCACTTTTGCAGCATATAACCAACCCTTGGCAAAAGCAATTGATGTAAGATATCTCTTGCTAACTTTTAAGGCAAATTCAGATGACCTGTCATTTCACATGGACTCTACAAAAGAACAGCTTCTGGAGATTCTAAATCAAAAGATACAAGTTCTTGAATTAATAAAAATCAAAAACAAATTCATATTTTGTGGACATCAGTGTAAAAAATATATACATACTGTGCTACAAATAATAATTAGTGCACTTCTAGTTATACGAAGGATAGCTGTATGTTAGGCATAATTATGACCTCATTATTGTTTATATTTGAAGATTATGTATGATTTCAAGAGATGTGTGTGGGTTCAAGTTGACAAGGGGTGGACGTGTGATGGTTAATATTGAGTGCCAACTTGATTGAAGGATGCAAAGTATTGTTTCTGGGTGTGTCTGTGAGGGTGTTGGCAAAGGAGATTAACATTTGGGTCAGTGGACTGGAAAAGGCAGACCCACCCTCAATCTGGGTGGGCACCATCTAATCAGCTGCCAGTGCAGCTAGGATAAAGCAGGCAGAGGAAGGTAGAGGGACTTGACTTGCTGAGTCTTCCAGGCTTCATCTTTCTCCTGTGCTGGATGCTTCCTGCTCTTGAATATCAGACTCCAAATTCTTTAGCTTTGGGACTCTTGGGCTTACACCAGTGATTTGCCAGAGGGTCCTGGGCCTTGGGCCACAGACTGAAGGCTGCATTGTCGGCTTCCCTACTTTTGAGGTTTTGGAACTCGGACTGGCTTCCTTGCTCCTCAGCTTGCAGATGGCCCATCATGAGACTTCACCTTGTGATTGTGTGATTCATGTTTCCTAATAAACTTCCCTTCATATATACATATACCCTATTAGTTCTGTCCCTTTAGAGAACCCTAACTAATACAGACTCCCATTATCCTAAGTGGATTAATGCAAGAATAGAAAACCAAATACCACATGTTCTCACTTATAAGTGGGAGCTAAACATTAAGTACACATAGACATAAAGATGGGAACAGTAGACACTGGAGACTACTAGAGTGGGGGGGAGCTGAAAAACTACCAATTGAGTACTATGCTCACTAGCTGGGTGAGGGATCATTCATACCCCAAACCTTAGGATCACACAATATTCCCGTGTAACAAACCTGCACATGTACCCCCTGAATCTAAAATAAAATTTGAAATTATCAAAAAAACTCATAATAACAACAATAAAAAGAATAATTGCCTGCCAGAGATGCCCATGCCTTAATCCCTGGGACCTGTGAATATGATGCCTTAGATAGGAAAGGACATGGAAAGTCGCTAATCAGATGATATTGCAGTAAGTATTTTATCCTGAATTACCCAAGTGAGTTCAATTTAATCACAAGTCTCCTTAAGTTTGGAAGAGGGAGGCATAACAGGAGATCATAGTGATGGGACGTTAGAAGAACTGACCTGCTCTTATTGGCTTTGAAGATGGAAGAAAAGGGCTGTAATCCAAGGAATGTGAGTAGTCTCTAGAAACTGGAAATGGATTCTTCCTTAGAAAGAAATATAGGCCTGCCAACACCTCCATTTTAGCCCAGCAAGACCCATTTTGGAACTCTGACCTCCAGCACTATAATAAAGATTTGTATTGTGTTAAGCCACTAGTTTGTAGTAATTTGTCACAACGGTGATAGGAAAGTAATACACGCACACACACACAAACAAAATTTGGCTTTAATTGGAAACATTGTCTTTGTTAAATCAAGCCATATGCATAATTTATCTCTTGGCTAATTTTTGACTTTTAACCTATTTGAGCTCTCTCATCCTTGCATCTATCTAGAATCTATTGCTGGCTTTGTTTTTTGTGGGACTTTACTTGGAATTCCAATTCTTCTTATTATAGGGAATAAGAAATTGAGTACCTTTTGTTTAGCTGGTTTAAGCACATTTCTTCCTCCTGGTCTCATCAGTAATTGTGTATGTGTAGTAAGTAAGGCACAAAACTAGTATAGAAACATCTGAATGGCTGCTGGAAATATTTTTTTTAAACATGCCACTTAGGGGCTTAAATACTAAGAAATATATTAGTATCCAATTTTCACGGAAATGGACCATTGAAGCTCAACTTGAAAGCAACATATGGCAGTCTCATCTTCATCATGGTTTGACATGTGTTAAAAAATTTTTGAAAAGAAACTACCAATATTAAGAATCAACTAGGCAAACATTATAAACATAAATACAGATGCTCCTCAACTTACAGTGGGGTTACATTATGATAAACCCACAGTAAATTAAAAATATTGTACATAAAAAATGGACTTAATACATCTCACCTAACAACACATCATAGATTAACCTAGTCTGCCTTAAACCTGCTCAGAACACTTACATTAGCCCATAGTTCAGCAAAATCATCCAATACAAAGCCTATTTTATTAAAAAAGTTTAATATATCATGTAATCTATTGACTATTGTGCTGAAAAACAGAAAGGTTGTATGGGTACTCAAAGTACGGTTTCTACTGAATGTGTATCAATTTGTACCATTGTAAAGTAAAAAAAAATCCTAAGTTGAACCATGGTAAGTCAGGGACTGCCTGTATTGAAAAGCTGACTTGGGAATAAACTACATTTTCATTGAAATATGAATGTATGATCTAGCAGTCTTTCTCTCCAATTGTTTTTGAACCAAAACAGATTTCCCTATCTCACTAAAGTCATTATTTGAGGTCCCTTGTTGCCAGGCACTAGCTGTATAGAACATTGATTTTCAGAGAAAATGCTATGATAATTGAAGAATGTTAAAAAGCAGATAGATTGTTTCCAAATTTCTCAGTGAATAGTTTACCATTAAATTTGAATTTTATCATCATGTAGGATTTACTCATAGTTAATAATACTATTCTTTTTAAGAAGAAAGACTCTCAAGATTGAGAAAATATAGCTAGAGCTTGTGTGCAATGATTTCAGGCAGTACATGGCTTTAGAAGGCTTGAATTCTAAGTTAGTATGGCAGAGTTATCACATCATTGACTGATTTTTCCTTTCAATTCAAAGCATGTTGATAGGTTTTCTTTCTTGGTATAGAAGGGAGAGGAATCTCTTGATGACATATTATCTTAGTACTTTGTGCATTTTCTTAGTTGAGACACTTAGAAGACTGAGCAAATACTGTATAATCAGGGTTATATAGAAAAACAGAATCAACAGGATGTATGCATATATACACACACACAAACACGCACACACACACACACACACACACACACACACACACACATATATATATAGAAGGAGATTTATTATAAGAAATTAAAGCATAAGATTATGGAGGCTTGGTGAGCCCAAATTCTGCTGTGTGGGTCAGCAGAGTGGATAACCAAGAGAAACAATGATACTAATAAAATCTGTAGGCCATCTGCTGGAGAATTCCTTCTTGCACAAGAAGGCCGGTATGTTGGTTCTATTCAGGCCTTCAGTTGATTGGATGAGGCCCACCCACATCATGGAGGGCAATCTGCTTTACCCAAAGTTCACTGATTTAAATGTTAATCATATGCAAAAACACCCTTCAAGTTGGTGCATAAAATTAACCATCACATGATATTTTAGAAAACATTTCATACCGTTGTAGAGTTATCACTTCTTTTGATGAGGGTGCTATTTTATCCTGGCTTCTATGACTTTATTTTTAACTATTGTAGATTTTAAAAGCCTATTGTTATATCAGACAGCCAATTGATTGAAACTAAGTAAATACATTTTTCCCAAATATCTGTATATTCCATGTGTAATTCTTATTGTAATAGAGTTTTTTGCAAATATTATATTTTTTGATTTGTATTTTTTAAAAATTTTTAGTTCACACATAATTGTACATATTTATGGGTTACATAGTAACGTTGCAATACATATAATGTATAGTGATCAGATCAGGGTCATTAGCATATTTATAATCTCAAACAGTTATCATTTCTTTGTGTTGGGAACATTTAATATCCTCCTTCTAACGATTTGATATATTATCTTTAACTATAGTCATCCTACAATGCTATAGAATACTAGAACTTATTCTTTCTTTCTAGCTGTAATTTTGTAACCTCTAACCAACCTCTTCTATCTCCCCTTCCCCTCCATGCTTCCTATCCTCTGGTAGACACTATTCTACTCTCTACTTCTATGAGATCAACTTTTTTAGCTTCTGCATCAAGAATGAAAGCAAGAACTGTTTTGACAAAAGGGAAATATAGTTTATTTAAAGCACACACTATCTAAATAATCTAGATAGATAATGTGCTAAATAATACACTCACATGCACACACACTGGCTTTATGTTTCCTGAATATGGATGTTCCTCAATAGAAGACAATATTTTTGTGAAATGCTCAGTAAAATAGTGAAAATGTAGTCAATATGATCGCAAGTTTTCATCATCAGCAGTTACGGAACATGACAAATTCACCATCTAAGTGTCAAATACTTTTCTAAGTGCTTTACATGGGTTAACTCATTTAATTCTCATAATAACTATATGATATAGATTCCATTATCTTCCCCTTTTCATAAATGAGAAGACTGAAGAACAGAGCATTTAGATGATGTATTCAAGGTCTCAGAACTAGTGAATGGTAAGGAATCCAGCCTTTTAGCCTTTAGAGACCATGCTCTTGGCAATTAAACTATAAAGCCTTTTAAAGGAGATTTTAAAAAATTCTTATAATGTGACTCAGTTGTAAACAATGTAAGTGATAGAGATTTTAGACTCACGAAGCTAGAAGAGCTTTCATGTCCAAATCTTTCACTTTATCAATGAGGAATCTTAGGAAACCAGAGCAGTAAAATGACTTTCTCTGCTTATGTAACGCATCTTTGATATCTATTGTAACTTTTCTGAGAAGTTCCCCCATTGCAGAAGGCAATGGCAGATAGGGAAGCAGGGGAAAAAAATCATTCTGAAAGAGGCAATGTAAGAGCTGCAGAATTTGTTTCCAGCTTCTGATCTATTACTTAATTTAGGTATTGGCTTAGACATGAACATGATTAAGCTTCATAATTCACAAGGGTGTGGAGGAGGAAGAATTGTACTCAGGGCCCCATTGTTTACTAGGGGATCTTTCACATTCAGCCCAGTGTTTAAAGGTAGACTTAGTCTAATTTATAGTCCAAATAAATGACCAGATAAAAGTACATGTTTTTCTCTGCACCTATTTCTCAGCTTAAAAAAGAGTTGAGACAGACACTTAGCCTGGAAATTAAGCTTCATGGTTTATTTTAGTGACTCCCCTTATCTGTACTACCAATGGCATGCTGTGAATATATTCTTGACTGCTGCACTTAGTAACACTTCTCTCACTATGTATATAAAAAAGACCAAGCTACTTATTTTGGGGTTTTGTAAAATGAACAACCTAATCAAACGTGGCTCTTGTGGATTTTATTCTTTGTGGGCACCCATAGTAAATACATAACTTTATATCATGCTGAAGATTATCGTTTAGTCATATATATTATATAATGAGTGGTGCTTTGTATAGAGAAGATGCTAAAAATGCCCTGATTAAATTTATTAGGCATGATGAGATAGAAAAATACTTACTGTAAAACAAGAAACAAACTTGGAGCCTAAAAAACATTCAAATATTACTTTGAAAGAAAGGAAATAAGCATTTTATTATATTTACTAAACTTTAAGAGAAGTTTTTTAACAGAAGTTTTTCCAGACAGTACACTTTCGGATACCCTCAAATTACATTTCAACAATTAGTGGTTTGTTGTGTGAGCAAATTTCTTTATAGAGGGAAATTAATGGCTGGTATATCCTAGCTAAGGATGTAAATGTCATGGGTAAGTGTTCACAATGGATAATACATGCCCTGAAAATGATACAGATGGATTTTGATTTATTTTCAAGTGTTGTGATCTGATATAATATCCTTCTAATTTACATTATAAAGCATATTTTCAATGTATGATATTCACTGCTCTGGAATATCATAGAATTAATCAAATGCTGTGCATAGATAAAGGAAACAAATGAATTACTTAAGCTTGTGAACAAAGATCAAGTAGGAGCAAATGAATCAAATCCTTAGGTGTAGTGTGTATATATAAACATTTGTTTTCGTGTAGGTAATCCTGTATATATAGATGTCTTAGGAGCTTTGTAGAAGTGTTTCTGTAATATTTTAGAGACCTTAACAACTGTAACCTGAATCTGATAAAATGGTGCCTAGCTTAGATTATAATAAATATTAAGTTTGTTTTTTATGAATTATAAAATGAAGTAATAAATTTAAAGTCTGATAAATATCAATCCTATTTATCTGTTTTTTCTGAAAAGTGAAATAATCTGCTATTCATATGTCTAGCAAAATTATTTCAACCATTTTGATCATTACTGTGAATTATTTAGTTTATATTGTTATAATTAACATATTATATTTACAGTCTACCTGACAGTCACATATACAGAGAGTCTAATGAGTAAGTAAAAGAGTACACAAGGTTTGCTGAGTTCTTACTATGTGCCAGGTACTAGTCTGAGCCCTTGAACATAACACAAGAGCCCTATGAAATACTTACATTTCTTTGTGTCTGTTATTCAGGTAAGGAAATCGAAGCCCAAAAATGCTAAGTAAATTGCCAAGATCACCAGCCTAGGAAGTAATGGAGCTAGGATTCAGGCCCAGACAGTCTAGCTCCAGGAATTTTGTTTTAACTATCATTACTGATTATCATGGCCACGTTGATTAGCAAAGCAGTAGCATTCTTACCAATACACTTATGAAAGATTGAGACATGCTATTAAAAGCAGTAATCTCCGGGAAATAATAAAATTAACTTCGTGGCAGATAAAATGCAAAGGAAGTGAAATAAGAATTAGCAAGTATAATGACTCCATTGTTCAATGAGATTCCAGCAGCCTTTAAGAAAAAATATGCAGTAAAGATTTAGTCAACTCTAGACAGTTTGACTCTCAGAAATTTGGTGAGTTTTTAGAACTACTTGACTTCTATCAATGTTTTGCAAATATATGACATGTTGGTGATTCTGTATTCTTCAGATACTAGGCAGGCTCATAAAAAGCCTCTATTGAGGAGAGTAGTGGAGTGATTTACTTAAAAAGAGGAGGCCTAAAATGACAGAAAGCAAATCGAAATCCATAAAGTAGTAAGAAATTACTTAACTATTATATAATTAGTGTTAGCATATATACACGATCTCTCAGAATAAATTCAGGAACAGAAAGATAATAAAGAGAAATAAGCCCCAACAACAGAAATTTTGTAAGGCTCAAAGACTCATTAAAAGGTGTTAGATCTAGCCCAAATGTCCATAGATAGTTCTAAAACGTAGACTATTCACTGGACTAAAATGATAGAAAAAAATTGGTAGTAATAGGTAGAAATCTATTTTAAATATAAAAGACTACCAAAATTTGGAAGCATACCTGATAGTGGTGGTAAAATGCTGTGCATGTATGTCTGTGTGCATGTGAGAAATATTAGTAAAAGAATAAAAGAAAAGGAAATCATCTCTCCTAAGACACTATGGAGAGATATATGGTATATAATTCTGTAAAGTAACAGATAAACCATGGCAGGAAGGGAAGATTTTTGGCAGAAAAGAGTAAGAGAAAAAAAAAAAAAGAGGTCCTCTCCAAATATATATATATACACGTATATATATACACATACATATACATATATACACATATATATACATACTATATATTATTTTTGTTTCTTTCTCAGAAAAAAAAAACTTTGGGGTACAACTTGTGACCATCAAAAGTGAGAAGTAGGGGATTAGCCCTTAGCTAGCAAATACAACAGAGCTGGTAGCCCTGTCACAAGCAGTAGCACATTTAGGACTTAGTTTTCCATATAATTCCCAATACAATGACAACTGTTGTGTTTACTTGGAAGTACATTTGATGGCTTAATTTGGCCCTTGATGCTGGAACCAGACAACATGGTAAATAAGCTTTGAAAGTAGCCTAGTGTCAGAGTTGGTCATTAGAGTGGTTCATTCAATATGGTTATGGTGTTCAGACTTGAAATCTAAGCATAAAATATATATGTAGATGGGAAAATTCTGTAGCCACTCCTATGGTTAGTTTTAATAGATTAGATTTCTAACTATGTAAGATTTAAAAGCACCTGTAATCTTAGAGGGAATATTTCAAAACACTGTCCAGGAAAGGGAGCTGAGGTGAACTTTGTTTTGGGAAATTCATTACAGATAGTTTTGTTTTTTCATTTTTCTTTTCTTTTTCAATAAGCTTTAGTGGTGTGTGTGTGTGTGTGTGTGTGTGTGTGTGTCGTGTGCGTGTGTGTGTATATGATCATTAATTTTGAAATAACTGCCAACACTAGTTGACTTGAAAGAAAACCTTTTTGAAAGTTTTTAGCTTGTTCCAATTTACTTTTATATAATAAGGGGCAGTAAAACTATTTGCATGTTGGTCTGGCAGAAAAATAAATTATGAAAGGCAAATTAATTATGTTGAAAATAGTCTGCTAATGTACTATGAGTAATTGGTATTAACCTATGAGTGAAGTTTACACTGACAGATTTTATTTCATTAGAAGACAGCATTTTCTAATAAAATGAAATGAGCCATCTTATGAAGCAGGGAGATTTCCAGCACTAAAATTGAAAAAGCAAAGGATATGTGGACACTGACAGACTGCTCTATTGAAGGGCTTCAGGTGAAGGTTACACTATGTGAATTCTAAGTCCACTTCTACCTCTGTGTTTTATAATTTTAGGACTTATTTAAAAACTTCTAGATAAAAAGAAACACAGTATTTTAGATGTGCATTATCTGGTCTTTTGTCAGGAGTTGAGTTCAGAAAAAATGATTAAGATAATATTTTTTGGCTGATGAATGCAATTTAATCCTATAGAGAAGTCATATTTTAAGCAGTCAAACATTCTCTACTCAATAGAAAAATACGTCATTATACTTATATATATTTTTTCATCAACTTTTATTTTACGTTCCAGGGTGCATGTGCAGGATGTGCAGTTTTGTTACATACGTAAATATGTGCCATGGTGGTTTGCTGCACAGATCAACTCATTACCTAGGTATGAAGCCCAGGATCCATTAGCTATTCATCCTGATGCTCTCCCTCACCCCACCCGCCCTCAAGAGGCCTCAGTGTGTGTTGTTCCCCGCTCCATGTATCCATGTGTTCTCATTGTTCAGCTCCCATTATAAGTGAGAACATGCAGTATTTGATTTTCTGCTCCTGTATCAGTTTGCGGAGGATAACGGCTTCCAACTCCATCCATGTCCCTGCAAAGGACGTGATGTCATGTTTTTTTTTAATGGCTGCATAGTATTCCATGAATACACTATTATATCTTTTGATGGCCTGTTCTTGACCAAAGCTGAGCCACAGCTGTGGAACATTGTGTATGATTATGTGTATATGTTATTTCAAAAAAGGAAAAGACAAAAATGTCATGCCCCTTTTTGAGTTTTGGAAAGAGAAATGGTGAGAAAGAAAGGGGGAGAAAGGGAAAAGAGGTAGGAGGTGAGACAGGGGGAGAAGTTTGGAAGAAAAAGGGAGTGAAAATAGGAAGAGAGTACAGTAAAGATAAAGTGGAGAAACATGGGAAGAGGGAAAGGGGAGCAAGAGAGGGAAAATTCAAAAGAGAGGCCGAGAGAGAGAAAATGTGTTAAAGATGAAGAGAGGCAAACAGAGTCAGTAGTAGCAAGAGAGAAAAGGGGAGAAATGGAGGAAGAGAGCAGAGAGAACAAGAGAAGAGAGGGAAGAGAGGTATGAAGAAGTGGGCATGGTGTATGTGTCTGCATTGTGTGAGTGTGTGTGTGTGTGTGTGTGTGTGTGTGCGCGCGCGCGCGCCTGAGAAAGAGATAGAGGGAGAGAGCAAATTTCTAGACTTAACTGTGTACTGAAACATACTCATCCAGTACCTACTTAATAATCTAAAAACATTTTCATTAACATCTTACAATCATCCTATGTTAAATTCATGAATACGTTACAAGTAGCATTTCGAATAAGAAGTGGAGATTACTGGCACTCTTGCTCCCACCCTTTTTACCCACAAATCTTAAACACATTTAAGTCTCTGGAATTACCCACCTTTAGTTAATTTTGATTCCTTTACCTTTGAATGAAAAATTTATCTTTTATGACCAAATACTGAAATGATGCATTACTGAAGATGTCATGAAAGAAAATGTAGCATGAAAAACATTTAACTTCTTGACTTCCTGAGTACCACTATTTGGATTATAAAAATATTTTAAGATAATCAAGGTGGGTCTATTTTGAAAATCTCTAACTAGTAAAAGCAGACCTATGTCTTGCAAAGCTTTTGCTACTTCCTAATGCCTCATTTGTGCCAGTTGAAAAACTGCAGTAATTAACAGGCCAAGCTGTATTCAGAAGATTCAGACACAGCCAGAGAAAACTGTCTCCTCCTTTGCTACTATCAGCCTCAGGAGAGAGAATGGGTTACTCATGGACCAGATCATCTTAAAGAAGAAGCAGTGAAATACCTTAGTAAAATATTAGAAACTCTTTTGATGTATAATATTACTTTACATTAGTGAATTTTTGTTGTCAGATAGGCAACTCAAATACCTACAATGCATTTTTTCAACCTTCAAACACAATTTAGCACAGTTCTCTATGCAAATATTTGAAGATATTTCCACCCATGATGAATTTTAAAGAAAATTTATTTTACTAAGGAAAAGGAGCTCAGCTTTTATAGGAAAGATAACATCAATGTTTACTATAATCCTGACATATTTTGGTGCATTTTTATCAAAATATTCGCTAGTTTCTTTGTTTGTTGACAAAAATCCATGCATATTTATGAACTGCTTAGGTAGTAAGCAGTTATTCCTAAATTTGTCAGTGAATAACTATTGCTAAATGGGAAAGTTGGTGTGAAGAAATTAATATTTTAGGTGTCAGACATGCCTAAGCAAATTTCATTTTGTTTGCAATTAGTGTTTAATTCTTATCCTCAAAAATTTTCTAGTAAAAAAAGTAATAACAATCATAATGTGAACAATTAACAAAAATCACCCAAAATAGGGTTTCTAAATGGAGACATTCTTAATGGCCCTTTCGTTGAATGTGTTGAGTGTCTCTAAAGAGAAAGGGTGATAACAAAGTTGTGGTTAAGGATATGTCTCCATCCAAACAAAATATTATAAGTCTGTTAATTAGGACAATAATAAAACTAACATCACAGATGCATTCTTTTCTTAAAACATAGCTAAATATTTCACCTCAGCTATTGAAATCTTTTTTTCCTTTAAAAATGGGCTTTGTCTTTGTCTTTCTTTTAGCTGTTCCCTTTGTTAATTGTCCCTAACCATGGGAATGTTATTGTAGAAGAATTTCACGGCCCAAGCTATAAGAATCATTGATTAGTGGCATTCAAATTTTACCAGCAAGAGGAGAAAGCTTAGTTCCTTTAGGCTTGGGTTGGAATAGCACCCATAATTAAAGATGTCTGTCAACCCTTGTTATGCTTCTAGTCTTACCATTTTTCCCCCCTGAACATAATTTGCTCTTTTGAAAGAATAGCTTTTTCTTGAGACTTATAGGTCACTCTTTGTTCCTTGCTAAAATCGGAAATTCTTGGCACAACACTCCGCTGTTAACTAGATTTTTTTTTCTGACTGTAGTGAGGTTTAAAGACATTAGTTCTGGGATACTTTCTGTGTGTCTCTCTTTAGGATACTCTAAAACTGACTAGGGGCACCTTATCCGATTCTTCAAAACTATATGGAAATAGTTTAAATTAGATTTTAAGTCAATATATGATTTTAAAATTCTACTTTGGAGTACCTTAATTCAATTAATTATTTACCCAAAATGCTACTAACTTTACTGGAACCATCAAATTGTTGTTGTTCATATACATTATATGGCAGCAATTCCAACTGAAGCTATCTTCACTGTTTTTCCTCAGTGAAGACCTTTTGTTATTCTTCATTGAATTAAAGAAAGCTTGAGTTTTGTCTTTTCCTGCCTGAGAGTCCTAGATAAATTATAGAAATTAGACTGGAATCCCACTGTAGATATGTTACTGAGTTTAAACTGAAATAACTCTGTGTCTAAAATAAATCACCCAAAGCTGAACAGAAAAGTTATTGGACAATTAGAAGAACATTTAATTGTATAAGATGAAACTCAGCAAGCTGTAAGGCAATGTAATTAAATAGACACAGCTTAATGAAGATAAGGAATTTGAAAGGGAAATAAGTATTTTTCAATGTATGCTAATTCAGGTAGAAAATACCTCAGCAAGATGTGTTATCCCAATTATATGTCAAGCTTAGGAAATTCAAGTTTTAAAAAAAGCATTGTTTAAAAAGGAAATATGCAAGTGAGGAACAATATTGGAACATATTTTCAGTTTTTCATGGCTATAGAGATAACAAATGTCTTACTAGAGAAGACCCAGTACAACATGAAGACCCAGTTTTCATGGACAGCTAAATTATTTTCTTATAATTTGTAATTTTGTACAATTTCTTACACTTATATTTCCCAGCTTCTTATTGTCATTTATCTTAAAGATAAATTATTTTTCCTAAAGAACATTCATTCCTGAATTTGTGTGTTATTTCATATTATCAGCTTCAATTAATTTAACGATACACTTTTCAATCTCCATAGTGAATCAGTGCTGAGAATATCCACTAAACCTTGTCACACTTTTTGTTACTGTCCATTTTTTTAGAGAAACAGAAGTTTTGTAAACCAAAAAGTACCTGAGACAAGTCTCAATCAATTTAGAAAGTTTATTTTGCCGAGGTTAAGGCGGCCCCAATGACATAGACTCAGGAGGTCCTGATGCCACGTGCCAAGGTGGTTGGGTACAGCTTGATTTTATACATTTTAGGGAGACATAATACATAAATCAACGCATGTAAGATTTACATTGGTTCAATCTGGAAGGGTGGGAAAACTCAAAGCAGGGGCTTCCAGGCCATAGGTAGATTCAAACATATACTGATTGGCAATTGGTTGAAAGAGTTATTATCTATAGAAAGGAAAGTCTAGATTATTATAAGCGCTTGTGAGGACCTAGGATTTCTCATGCAAATGAAGCCTCCAAGTAGCAGACTTTAGAGAGAATAGATTGTTGATGTTTCTTACCAGACTTAATGTATTGCTGTTAATGTTGGCAGGGTATAATGAAGCATGCCCAACACCCACTTGCCATAATGGGTTGAACCAGTCTTTCATGTTAAATTTTAGGGGGCTCTGGCTGAGGAGGGAGCCCATTCAGATGGTTGCAGGGGGCCTTTAAATTTTATTTTTGGTTTATAGTTTCTTTGTCCTATCCAGGTACCTTATGATCTTCAAGTTATGTACAATCCAGAGGGGGTGCGATGTTTCAGCAAAATGGGGTCTATTGGGGCAATATTTATCCTTAGTACCCCTCAATTAATGGTGCATAAAGAATTAGAAAGTAGTTGAACATAGAGTTAAATTGTAATTGGCAGTTCTGTGAGATGAAAATTTGATTTGCCTAAGTAATTTTAACCCTCTTAACATTTAGCTAATGTATACACCAAAAGATACACATTTGACCACTTGTAATTATCTCAAACCCTTACAACTTACAATCGTATTTTCATTCTTGACTTGCTCCTCTCTGAAACATATAGTTAGCTCTTTTTTGAAATCAAAACATTTATATAATATAATATATATTATATAATATAGTATAATATAGTTGAGAATGGTTCCTTGCCTAAAATAATTTTTATCATTTGCTATTAACTTGAAGGTAATATTTGAAGGTGTTTGTTTATTTGTTTTTGTTTTTTGAGGGTCCTGAAAGGGATTATTTAAGTTTAGCTATAGGCAAAATATTTATATGATTTTAGCATGAAGCCATACATGAATAAAGCTTATTTCTTATCTGCATCGATGTTATTAAGGAAATGATCGTAATTGAATGGGCTTAACACTTTACCTTTTCATTTTTTAAGAATATTCAATGAGGATGCTTATTATCTTCTCATTTTATTAGATTTACTATTAATTTAATAATTTTAAATATATGTTATTGTAATTATTTATATAATGATTTAAATAGTTTAATTCAAAGTTACAACTGGCAAAGGAATCCCTTTTATGAAACTATAATCACCTTTAAGATTCTGGATTGATATGCTAGATACTTGATTAGGTAATTGCCACTTAATAGGAATCTATTTTCCTAAAACTATATACAGATTTTGTGAGTGAGGAGAGGTTTAGACTCTGACTTTTTTCATTCAACTGCCATATATATAATGAGAAGGAGGACAATAGTCTGAGCACTTTTTCTACGTCTATAGCTCAATATACATGACTATTATTTTCTTTTAAATAATAGTACATATCAGTACTATGTTGTTACAGTTTCGGGAATCTAGTCGAATTTACACAATTTTTTCTTACCTAATATATGGAACTATTTGCTTTGCTTTTGCTTATGTTTTCTAAAATAAGCCTATCTAAAGAGTAAAATCAGAATAATTTCCCATTGCATCAAACACAGGGACAAATATTAAATGCCCAAAGTTTATTCTTTATGAAAAAAGTAAAATATAAAGTTCAAATAGATGCAACAAAATGTAGACGGTCTGCATATTGGCTGCTTGTGAAATGATTGCTACCAGTTTTACTAATTCATTTCTTCCAAATTCATGTGAATCTAAAAAAACTAATATAAGAAAATATATTTGGAAACTGTGTTTCTTTCAATAATCTATTCTGATATGCAGAGTTTTTACTGTATGGATAGGAAGAGTGATTAGATTTATTAACTAGGTCTCATTAGTTCAAAACATCATTACACTGTTTCTCTCTGTCTTTAGCGACTGTATAAGATCTTCCTTTATTCATTGTATAATTTCAACATCTGGTACAGTTTCAGTAGTTTTTTCTCTTTTTTCTCAAATTTTAAAAATTAAGCTTAATTTCCTCATGCAAATATGACTTTTATAGCTCATACAATTGAATTAAATTCACTATGTGTGCCTATTTGTCTAATTAGGTCAATAAAGTCGCCATTAATTTTAGATTGTCCATCTGATATTATGCAATTCTTCTCACATTGAGAAAATTATCACTAGAATATTTCATGACAAAACAATACTGGTTCTTTTAAAAATGTGTGAGCTTCTATTTTGCATATACTTTCATACCATCTTTCCAAAAGAAAGGTAATAGCCATGAATAAATATTGTCTTGGATCTAAAGTTGCTACAACTTCCCTTTAATATCTGAAGATTGGAAGAATCAAAGTAGCCTGACACTTCTAAGTCAGAACATAAGTGTTTTCACCAGATACACCCTCAGAAGCATATTTGTGGTTTTAAAAACTACTTGAACATTTTTACATCTGTCCAAGATGGAATAAGAGGGACTAGATTTATCCTACTTCTGAAACAACTAAAAGAGAGAGAGAATATATGAAATGACATCTGTCAAATTATGGACCTCAGGCAAAAAAGGACAGTGATCCCTGACAGACAGGAAACAAGTGAAGTAAACCTAAAATTTCCACAGCTCACAATCTTGAGGGAGTTGCCAGAACACAATGCAGAGAAAGATAATCCAGGTGGAGCCTGAATAACTTCCTGAGTTAAGGAGACAGAGATGGTTAGAATTTCTGGAGCAAAGTACTGAAGAGAAAAGAGCTAGATGGAGAGAATACCCTGGAGATCAGCACAGGGTCTCCCTTGGGTATTCATCAGCTTGTTGATCAGTGTATTTGTGAGGGAAGCATCTGAAGTCACTGTGAAAAAGCCATCCAGTAGTATTACAGAATAATGCCTGGTTCTTATACATGGCTAGAAATAGTGCCTGTTTCTACTAGTCAGACTGGAAAAAGAATTATGTTTCTAAGGCACTGAACAGAGTACTCCAAAAGGTCTTTCTCAGTAGTGGGACATAATTAGCCCCTAGATGAAGCATAACTCTGCATCTACTAACAAATAACAAAAAGAAGGCCTGAAAGAATCAAACTTTTGAAGTAACTTATATTCATCCCAGATAAAATCTTGATCATATTTATAAAAATAGAAAAATATCTGGAAGCCAACACAGTGAAATTCACAATGAATGACATAGAAGCAAAGATTAGTGAACATACTAATAAGCAGGGAATCATAAGCTATAATGAGTAGAATAATCAACAGAAACTGAGAGCTGACACAAATATTAGGATTAGCATATAATAGCATCTTAAAATGTTATTGTAATTGTGTTTTCTAGGTTCAAAATGTTGGGTAGAGATACATAAGATATTAAAAAGACTCAAATCAAACTTCCAGAAATGCCAGCCAAAATGTATGAGAGGTAAAAATGCACAGGATGAAATTCATGTTAGAGTAGACATGCAAGAAGAAAAGATTAGTGAATATGAAGACATAGCAATACAAACTATTCAAAATGAAATACAGAATAATGACTTTTTAAAATGACAATAAAAGTAACTGAGCTCTGGGACAATTTCAAGTAGCTTTATTTATGTGGAACTAGAGTCTAAGAAGGAGAGGAGGTGTGAGACAGGCAGAAAGAAAATATTTGAGTTAATAATGGCAAAAATTTTCCAAATTTAATGACGACTCTGAACTCATCAAGTCAAGAAGGTTAATGAATCCAAGCACAAGAAACATGAAGAAAACTGCACCCATTACAGCTCATAATAATCAAATTGCTCAAACTCAATGATAAAGAAAAAAAAATGTAACGCAGCCAGAGAAACAAGACACACTATGTAGAGAGAAACAAAGATGACAGCAGAATTCTTGTCTGAAACAATGCAAGTAAAAAGACAGTGGAGGGCTGTCTTTAAAGTGCTGAAAGAAAAAAAAAGTCTACCTAGAATTTTGTATCCAATGAAAATATCTTTCAAAACTGAGGGCAAAATAAAGATATTTCCAACATACAAAAGTTGAAAGAATTTATCACCGGCCCACGGAAATGCTGAAGTCCATCAGGCAGGGAAAAATAAAACACCAGATGGAAATGTGGACATACAAAAACAAAGAATAACACTACAAATGATCACTACAGGGTAAATATACAAGCTAGTTTTTGTATCATTAAACTCTCTGATATAGTTTGGATGTGTGCCCTGCCCAAACCTAATACTGAAATATAATTCCCAGTTTTGGAGGTGGGCCTGGTGGGAGGTGATTGGATTATGGGAGTGGATTTCTCGTGAGTGGTTTACCACCATCCCCCTTGTTATTGTCCTTGTGATAATGAGTGAGTTCTCATTAGATCTGATCATTTAAAAGTATGCAGCACTTCCCCCATGCCTCTCTTGCTCCTGCTTCAACTTCCGCCATGATTGTAAGCCTCCAGATGCCTACTCCAGAGCAGATGCTGATGTTATACTTCCTGTACAGCCTGCAGAACCGTAAGCCAATTAAAGATCTTCTTTTCTTTTAAATTACCCAGTTTCAGGTATTTATAGTAACGCAAGAACAGCCTTAACACACTGTATTATAAAATAACTTAGCTATTTATAAAACATTAATGACAATATATTGGAGTTTATAACATATATAAGTAAAATGTATTTCAATAATAGCATAAAAGTTTGGAAGAGGAGATATAGAAGTGTGTGTGTGCATGGGCACACATGCGCATGTATACACACACAGGCACACAAACATATATATGTATTGTTTTTGAAAACAGGATCTCACTCTGTTGCCTAGTCTGGAGTGCCATGGCTGAGTCATGGCTCACTGCAGCCTCACCCTCCTGAGATCAAATGATCTCCTGGCTCAGACTCCCAAGTAACTAGGACTAAGGGTTACCACACATGGCTAATAGAATTTTTTTTTTTTTTTTTTGTAGAGATAAGGTCTCATTATGTTGCCCAGGTTGGTCTCAGACTCCTGAGCTCAACTGATACTCTTGCCTCAGCCTCCCAAAGTGTTGGAATTATAGGTGTGAGCCACTGCGCCTGGTCAGAAGTATATTATTGCAAGGTTTTTATAATATACGTGATGTAGGATAATATAGTCTGAAGGCAGTCTGTGATAAGTTAAAGGTATATACTATTAGTAGTAAAGCAACCACTAAAATGAAAAAGTTGTATCTAAAAAGACAACAGAAATAAAATTTGATTGTAAAAAATATTCAATCTACTGTAGTCACTAATAACTTAATTGTGCATTTTAAAATAACTTAAGGAGTATAATTGGATTGTTTGTAATTCAAAGGATAAATGCTCAAGGGGATGGATACCCCACCTTCAGAAAAGAAGGCAGAGAAAGAAGAAAACAGGAAAGACATAGGACAAACAAAAAAACAAATAGCAAGAAAACGGGAAAGACATAGGACAAACAAAAAAACAAATTCTTACAAACAACCAGTAACACCTTTGAATATAAACAGTCTAAACACCTCAATTAAAATGCAGATCATCAGGTTTGATAAAAATAGACAAGATTTTAATGTAGGCTCTCTATAAAAATGCACTTTAATTATGAAAACACATCTTAAATTATACATTATGTAAACAATAGTTAAAAGAAGTAGAAATGGCTATTTAATATCAGAAAAATAGATTTCAGAGTAAATAATACTAATAGAGATCAAGCAAGATAGTTCATAATGTTAAAGGCATGCATTCATCAAGAGGATATACTCATTATTCATGTTCGTGCAACTAATAAAAGAACCTTAAAATACATGAAGTAAAAACTGGTAGAACTGCAGGGAAAAGTAGAAGGATTAACAATTTTGGTTGGGAATTTCAATATTCTTTCATCAACTGATTCAACAAGTTTTGTGATCAGAGAGGACATAATAGACTGGATTGCCACTGTCAACTAACTTGACCTAATTGACATTTATTGAACATTCCACTCAATGATAGCCGAATACGTTCTTTTCAAGTGCACATAGAGAATCTACTAAGATACACTCCATTCTGGACTATAAAATGTTTCAATAAATTTAAAAGAATTCATGTTATAGAAAGTATTTTCAGTAACCTCAATGGAATTCAACTGTATATCAATAAGGGAAATATACCTGGAAACATCTCCAAATAATTAAAAACTAAATAGCACATTTTTAAATAAATTATTGGTACCAAAATAAAACATTTTGAACTGAATGGAAATGGAAAAATCAATTTGTCAGAATTTCCGTGATGCTACTAAACCAGGAAATAGGGGGAAATTTATAGTGCTTTTATTAGAAGCAATGACCTCAGTCTTAATTTATTAGAAAAGAAAAAAAAAGAAAAGAATCAAGGACCTCAGGCTTAATATTAAGCAACTGGAAGAAGAAGAACAAGTTAAACACAAAGGAATCACCCGCAAAAACAATAGCGCTCAAAGCCAAAACCAGTGAAATTATAAACAGAAAAAGCAAGAGAAAATCAGTCAACCCAAAGGTTCATTGTCTTTGAAAAAAATCAGTAAAATTATAACTGATAAATCTCTAGCCAGACATAAGAAGAGGAGATGCAACTTTGTAATATCAACAATGAGAGAAGTGACATCACTACAGATTAGAAAGACATTAAAAGAAGAAAGACGAAATATTTTGAACAACCTTATGCATATAAATTTGACAACTTTGATGAAATATACAAATTACTCGAAAAATGCAAACAACCAAAGTTCACTAAAGGAGAAATAGATAAGCTGATTAGTCCTATATCTATTAAGGAAATGGAATTCCTTGTTTAAAACCTTCCCACAAAGGAGACGGCAAGCCCATATGGCTTCACTTGTCAATTCTACTAAGTGTTTAAAGGAAATATAACACTAATTCCATAAAAAATTTTTCTGACAGTTAAAGTGGAGAGAATACTTCCCAATTCCTTCTATCAGGCCAGCATTGCCCTGATAAAGAAACTAAACAAAACTAAAAATCCAAAAGAAAAAAAGAAAACTAAAGATCAACATCCTTAATGAATATAGATATAAAATTCTAAACAAAATTATATCAGTCAAATCCAACATGATATACATCATTTGCAAGTGATGTTTATTCTAGGATGCAAGGATGGTTTAGCTCTTTAAAATCTATCAATATTATTCAGTGCTTAAAAGAAATGATATATCAAGCCATGAAAAGACATGGAGGAAACATAAATGTGTATTACTAAGTGAAAGAAGTCAATCTGAAAATGCTACTTACTGTATGATTTCAACTAGATGACATTCTGGAAAAAGCAAAGTAAAAAGATTAATTGTTGCCAGGGGTTGTGAGGGGTCTGGAGTTGGAGTGGGGAGGATAAACAGTTGGAACATGGAGGATTTTCAAGGCAGTGGAACTACTCTGTATGATACTATAATGGTGGAAACATTTCATTGTACATTTGTCTAAACCCATAAAATGTACACCAAGTGTGAACCCAAATGCAAACTATGAACTTTAGCTAATAATGATGTGTCAGTGTAGGTTCATCAATTGTAACAAATGTACCACTTTGGTGGGGGCTATTAACACGTGAGAAACGATGCATGTGTGGAGTAGACAGTATACGAAAAATCTCTGTACCTTCCTCTCAATTTTGCTGTGATCCTAAAATTGCTCTAAAAAATAAAGTCTATTAAAACAAATCAATTAATATATTTTGCCATATTAAGAAAACTGAAAAAGGAAAAGCACATGATCATCATAGCAAATATAAGAAAAATATTTGACAAAATTTATCATCCGGTCCTTATAAAAATTCTTAGTAACATACAAATAGAAAAGAACTTCCACAACTTAAGATAGAACATCCATGTAAAACCTACAGCTAACGTCATAATAATGGTGAAAAACAGAATGCTTTCCCCCTGAATATCAAAAGCAAGATATGCAATTATTAGGAAACTATTGTATTAGAAGTTAACAACACAATCTTTAATCTATCAGTTAGTAGTTCACATCTGACAGTTGAAAACAGAATAACAGCCATGCCATAGTTAAGAGAAAACACGTAAATATTACTAATCATGATACTCCACATTTCTTTCAGACTAGAAAGTAAGAAAAAAAAAAGCCACAGGCTTACTTATAGCTTTTGATGTTTTGATGCAGCCATTAAAACATCCAATAAACTCGGTGAGAGCCATCTGTGATTTCACCTTAGCTGGCTTAGCTGCTTTTCTCCTTTCAGAAGTGCATATCCCAAAGCTGTATCTCCTGGATTGTGTGTGTGTGTGTGTGTGTGTGTGTGTGTGTGTGTGTTCGCTTGCTCTTGTTCAGTGCTTAATAACAGACTTACAAAAGCTTTTAGTATACAACTAGATTTCCTTGATCACATTATGCTAGAATTTGGGTGACCTACTCCACACACAACACAGGAAATTGATGGTAACTTGTGAAGTGAGTAGAAGTGACTGAATTTAATTTGGAAGAGTCCCCAAAAAACAATTAGTTTAGCTTGAAATTCTTATAAGGAGAGTTTTGGGTACTGTTAGGTTTCATTTTATTTGCCTATACTCCAGAAAAAAAAAAAAAACTACGTCAAAACTATTGTGATGAAAGCTAGTGATCTTCAGCACATCAAAACTTGTTCAAAATGCTTGCATCTGATCTCACACAATAGGGATATTCACACAAAATATCTGTATAGAAATCATGTTTTAAAAATTAAGAAACAAAATACATGAAGAAAGTAACTTTCGGGTGAATCATATAGTGCATCATTATGTAACATCAAATAAGCCTTTGATATTTCCTCATTTTTCTTAGATTTTTATACACTGGCTCTATCTGTAGAAAGTAGGCTGGAAGGGAAATATTCTTATAGGACACAAATTGAAATAGTTTCTTTTAGTTGATCCCTTAAATTCTCTTAGTAATAGTCAAAGAATTATGTATGGGTTTACTTTTTAAATGGATTTACACATTTAATGAAACCATGTAAGATGAAACTAGGATATTTATCATTTAGCATCGTATTTTCATTAGTTGACAGAAAAAAATCATTTTGTAGAACTTATTTTAAAGGCATTTCATACTGTTAAAAAGGAACAGCTTTCAAAATACAAATCAAGTATATAAATCCATTAAGTGCAGTCACATCAATACTTAGGTCAAAACCATCACATGACACATAGTACTATAAGATCATACTTAAAATCCCTCTTATCTGTAAGTCTTTATATTAACTGCTTAGAATTGCAGCTGTCTCCCTTATTTTTCTCTAAGTCTTCGTAGACATCATATACATATATATATATATATATATTCTTAAATGTCAGAAGGATAGTGTTGTTTTCATATACAGTGGAAATATACTTATACTTAAAAATACATTGTTCCTATGGAAATTAATCTCTGGAGGTTTAGATTAAAGAAAAATATTATTCGGGTATGAGATGAAAGCTATATAAAATGACTAATTTTATTTCAATTTTATAATCATTCAGGGCTACATCTTTCAACCTTATCTCTAAAATATGCAAGTAGATAGCAGGACAATACTAGAGTGCCGTGTTAATTCCCTTTGCTAATGTACTGGCAGTCAAAACTGAAAGGCTACAATTTTATGAAAGCAAGAATAAATTGCATGTAATCCTGGCCTTTACAATGAAAGTCAAACTTAACCCTAAATGAAATTCCTAAATTTTTAGGGCCTCTTTTATCCCAAAATGCAAAGGCCAGTTTTGTCATACATGATGAATTAGATGCGCCACGTTCTTGTATTAACCTCCAAAGAAGGCAACTCTTGGTATTCTAAACATCTTTTTAAGTCAGAAGACAAGTATATGATAATAAATCTCTGAAATTGTTATGGGCAAAATTTTCTGGTGTTCTAAAAATGCAGCCTATTTGCCAGCATCTTATAATAAATATTATAAGTAAAAAATAATGGTAAATTTATAGTTTTGTTGCAAAGAAAGAATTATAGTAGGCTCTTACGAAAACTAAAATTTGTCTTCTAAGTTCAGATAATCGTAGGATGAAACCGAACCTTTACCCATTTTGAAATTGCTGCATGTTTCCAAACCCATCTTGGACTTTCTATACCCTACTTCTCAGCTCTGTTTCTAGTTGCGCTGCCAGATTTCAGTTTAGCCATTTAGTACCAACTACTTTTGGCATGAAACAATGATTCAGGAATTAGCTAGACAATTGTTAGTGTTTAGGTGCTATAACTACATTATACTTTTAATTGGGACACACAACACAAAGAATGGATAAGGAAGATTTTATACATACACATGCTGAATCCTCTCCGTGGTGAAACGGAATACTCAGAGCCATTTTATTTAGTACACTAGGATGTGTTTGGGGTATTTTTTTGTTGGTTGTACTCCTCACAGTACCCCTTTAGATATAGACATTATTGTGATTCCCATTTTACAGATAAGGAAGAACAAGTGAGTTAAATTATTGACCCAGAATCACATATCTTGGAAGTGCACATTTATTTTGCCTTAACTAAATATTAAATTTTGCCTTTTCACACTCCTATTATCAGGGATATTATAATTTATATTTTAAACATTGTACTATTAAAGTTGATGCTGAAAAAGCTTTCTCAGTACCATGATCTTATTCATAACATAGTTATTGAACTGCAAAATGTTGGAATCCCATGCAAAGTTAATTAAAATATATATCATACTTGACTGCAAGTATTGTAAATGACCATAAAAAATATAAGAAAGCTGTGCTTCTGTCATATGTTCTTGATGCCTGGAGTTTGAATTTGGATTCAAACCTGTTTCCCTCATATATATATATATATATATATATATATATATATATATATAGCTATTTAAAATAATGTACTAGGAAGGATTTGTGATATATTTATCTTTATGTGAAGGACGGGTTGAGGCAATATATATTTTTAAAATTTAGCAGTAATTTGCATCTCATTAATTCTGATTTTCCTTCTCTTACCTTTCTCTCTGACTGATTCTCACTGTTTTCTTCTTTTGTTTATAATCACTGTGACTATTCAAAATTCGTCCATACTTATAGAGATAGTTTAGTAACGCATGCTTGCAGGTGTTCAAATGAAAGCAGGTCAAGTTTAAAAATCCTGAAGATACAATTTTTATTTTTGTATTATGAGCATGTGTTTTCTTGCCTGGTTACATGCTTCAATTCTTGGGGTTGAGAGCATGAAATTTAACTCCAGAACACCTAATGCACAGGAATCCCTAGAAAATGATAAACCCCAGGTATATGTAGTACAAAGCTGATCCTGGGTAATTAATGGTCAGTCAGGAAGTGCAGTTACTGCAAAGAGCATGCTACCTAAGAATTCCTCTATATTCATATTCATGCTGAGACTAGATACAAAATTTTTATAAAAATTTTGACATGTGTGCATTTGAGTGTGCAAGCTAGGGGAAAGTTTGTGTTGGGGGGGTGCAGCAGTCTAAAAAATCTTGATATTAGACTCCAAGAAATGATTATTATCAACATCATTCAAGTGCAAATCTTGATGCGAAGGGCATACAAAAAGCTGTAGGTAAGAAGCAATTCAAGAATATAGAGTGCAGAAGTCATCTATTTCTCTATAGTCACATTCAGGGAACATTTATACACTTCCAAGATGTGTTTTGCATACATACACTGTACAAAATTTTTGTCATTTTTAAGATGCACCTAGTAATTGGAGGGAGTTTTATATTTAAAACTCATATTCTATATGGTTATTTTAGCCACGACTGATAAAATTTTGTAGCTAAAAGTTGATATTATTTTGCAGTTTGAGATTTAGAAGAAAAGAAATCATAGAGAGGAGAAAATGCCCATACAGATTTTTCTCAAGAAGACTACAGGATGAGGCTCTCAGTTAGGAATTCTTTTCTCTACCAGTCTCCTGGGGACATAAAGAGTAATTTTCCTCCAGGCCTTGGCATGGCAAATGCACAAAAATTAGTGAATCTAGTCATTTCCAATTCACTCACTGGTGTGTGGGATATGGTTGCCTTAAACCATATTCTCTTTAAGTACGTACACACTTCCAGTAACTTGGGCAACATACTGGTATCCTCCCAATTACCCAAATTTCTGGAAATCAGAAGCCAATCCTGTTTTTATTTCAAAAATCAGATCTAATTCCTTAGATGGAAATGCCTTCTAGGCATTCTGTTATGAGGCATTCCATGCTACCAATGTCTCCTTCCTAATCTAGGCTCCTGAGACCTCTGAAATGTTTTACATTTTGTTATATGCTATATGGTATCCTGTTTTAGGATTTCCTAGAAGCAAATTTAAGGTACTTGCTTTGTTTTTACTTCATTCTCATGTAAGCAGTCTTACTATTCTTGGATCCTTAACTTCCAATACTATGCTTTAATTAAGAGTTTTTAGTTATTATGATACAATTATTTTTAAATGAAATCATTAATTTTTACCAAGGAAACCTTAAGTCAACATTTTCCCTTTAAAAAAAGAAATGCTATTTAAAATTGGCACAATAAAGTCAGCAATCAAAGCAAAAGAAAAATCTGTGTTTAAATAATAGTTGACAATTCTGCCCACCACATTATTTCCAATTCCATGTTCTGTTACAGCCAGAAAGGAAGCGACTAAACTCATGCAGCTTATCTCGGCGTGCTAGGGGTAATGGACTGTGGGATAAGTGATGGCATGTACAGAAGAAATGTAAAATTCCACAGTTGCTCTGACAATGTACCTTGGGTTTGGAATTCAATACAGTAGTTGTTATGGTTATACAGGCTGTGCTCTGTCCTACACTAAGATGTTGCAATCAGATGATACATTTATATTAGTTGAATATGTTATAACTGTTAAAGAAAAGCATTATTTATAACACTTGTTAAATAAGGTGAGGAAGGTCCTAAGGAGGGACCATTGCAATAGGTGTAGGGACCACTGCAATGGGAACTTTCGGTGCAGTGGGGAAGAAAGATTGGGCTTGACTCTGATTCCAACAAGGACAAGTGGAGATTGATATCCAAGGAGCAGCATGGGGTCAGTGGATAGAATATTACTAAGAGGAAACATCAGGCGTAAGGAGGATTCCTGCTATGCCAACTCAACAGACTTCTTGCTGAAGACAGGCCAGGATGATAAGATATAGAAGGTGAGGATAAGGACAGACACCAAGGATGGGGGACTTTCTTTAAACTAATTTAGCAGGATTCTTACTCAAACTGGATTCTACAAGGATAGAGGGAAACCCAAGATCAGGTCTCGTCGAGCAGAGGCCTCAGAGGAGCCTGAATAAGAGAGAGTATTTGTTACAATATACAAATACATACACAAAGCCAGTACTTTGCAGTTCAGCACTTCCCATGTTATTGGGTCCACAGAAAAAAGAGACTGTTATGGAATGGGTCTGTCATATTGAAGACTAAAGTGCATGGAGGGAGCAGTAAGAAGCTATTATGATCTTTGGGGGTTGCTTATCTCAAGGAAGATTCTGACAAAGATGAATTGAAACAATAACAGCTTAACAAGTACAGGACAAGACAAAAACAGCCAAATTATAGTTAAACAGACAAAAAATTACCAAGCATTTTTTGAGGAGGCAGATATAGAGGGAAAAAAAAACTTACAAAAGAAAATGCTGTCGCTTCTGAATAGATGAGATAACCCTGAGAGATAATATTAATAACATAGGCTAAAGCATTTGGAATTTGATTGCATCTTATCATTGTAAAATAAAGACTAGTGACTAGGAAAAAACATTAAAACAAATTCGTACAAGTAGTTTGATGGAGTGGAAAAATACTTTATTAGAAGTCAAGTGTTGAGGATTCAGACTCAATGCTACTTTTGTCACCTGGGTAACTGTGATAAATCACTCGGCTTCTAGCGCTGTTTTCTCTGCTGTAAAATTAAGTTAGATTAAATGATCTTTAAAATTCATTCCAGACATATTTGATGGTTTTGTATGTGATAATTTTAATGATTTTATATTTATATTTGAGAATTTATATTTGAGAATAGATTTATATTTTTAATCAGATACAAACTATAATTATTTAATTAATTGGTACTATAAAATTTCAGTAAAAAAGAACTATCACAGTTGCTTAAAAAGCTGGCTGGGATTTTCCTAAGCAGACAGAAAAAGGGTGACAAAAAGAATTCTAATAGGAGGAATAACTGGAGTGATCAGGAGAAGTGGGATGGCTAGTAGATGGGCCAATAATAAGAGCGGCCTGACAGAAATACAGTAGACAATGACACATCATATGGGGATTGTGTGATTTAATGATTTATACTAGCATGTTAAATTCTTGTAGAATGTATTTCAAGACAAAACTATATTTCAGCATTTCAAAATGTATTTCAAATCATGCAATATTTGTATTTATTGTCATTCTTTAATTTAATTTTATTTATTTCAATAGCTTTCAGGGTACAAGTATTTTTTGGTTACATGGATGAATTGTCTAATGGTGAAGTCTGGGATTTTAGTGCACCCATCACCTGAGTAGCGTACACTCTACTCAATAGGTAGTTTTTAATCCCTCATCTCCCTCTCACCCTCTCTTCTTCTGAGTCTCCTATGTCTTTCCATTATACCAGTCTATATACTTTTGCATATCCATAGCTTAGCACCCACTTATAAGTGAGAACATGCAGTATTTGGTTTTTCATTCCTGAGTTACTTCACCTAGAATAACAGCCACCAGTTCTACCCAAGTTGCTGCAAAACACATTATTTTATTATTTTTATGGCTGATTAGTATGCTATGGTGTATACCACATATATATCAATGTGGTATATATATATATATAAATGTGATTGATATATATATATAAATGTGATATATATATATATATATACACACACACATATATATCACATTTTCTTTATCCACTCATTGATTGATGGGCACTTAGGTTGATTCCTTATCTTTGCAACTGTGAATTGCAAAAGCACAAAATATTTTTAGGTAAACAGCTATAAATTAGAATATTTTGTTCTTTCCATTAGAGTGTAAGCTCCATGTGATCATTGTCCGCTTTGTTCCTTCTGTATTCCTAACATGTAGAAAAGTGGCTGAAATATAAGCACATTTTGCCTATGTTAGAGTGTGCTTTAAATAAGTCAGAATTGGTTTTTACATCTTGAAAAATGGGATATTTTATGTTAAAACAACCTCGCAAAATCACTCCCATGTATAGAGAGACATAAGGAAGATACAATTGCTATGAGCAACCTTATTTTTTCAAAATGAGAACTAGACATTTTTGTAGCTTTTCAACTACAGGCATTTATGACTGTATCCTATGTATTAGCAAATAACAGATCTTTGTTTTTCAGGTAGAAATAGTAACTAGCCATCCATAACGTATTATTTTTCTCTCAGGACGCTGTGTTAAATATGAGTGTACTTATATTGTAAAACAACCTCTACCACTAGAGTAAAAGCCATTTGAAAGTCAATGCACTACAACTGCTGTTTGCTATGGAACACTGTGCAAGAGAGTACTATTTGAAATATTTGAAACACTTTATTACAGCAGGACAGGAGGTCAACTGATAGTAACAGAATTTATGTGGACTTCATTTTCTGCAGACTTGGAGAGTAGCCTTTCTATTTTTCCATGTGATTTTTAAAGTCATAATTCTAAATATGTCAACATTCATAATAGATCTAGAAATTATTTACATAATCATCAATACTGAAAAGGAAGGGGCAGGCATTCTTTGGACACAAATTAGCATCATAGAGGATTATGAAATTTGGCCATTCTGTGTATTAAATTTCCATTTTAAAGTAATGTTACTAGTGTTGAATCTTTTCTTCTCTGATGCATCAACTATTCCAGTCATCTAAAATTCATTTTTAGCTGAACAAATTTCCATGAAATTATTGTGACTTCTGACAACTTTATTTTTTCTAGTTATTGCAGTCCAACAATCACATAATAAACATCACATAAATTGCATGAATTTTTCTCCTATTGAATTAATAAAGCCATGGAGCAAATTATATTTTCTGATGATCCTTAGGTAAGGATTTGGAAATTTCTTACATTTTCATTATTAAGGATAAAGAATCACCCGTTAGCACTGGTGGGTAGGAAAGCTTCCAGTTGCTCTGTCAGGAGCCCTGGCCTGCTGAAGTTGTAGAGTATTCTAGCTGCAGTAGCAAAGCCTACACCTGCTCATTGGTATGGCTGCTGCTATGGCAATATTATGGGTGTGGTAATTGGTTCTTCCCTACTTTTCACAAGTGCTAATGGTCACCAGAGCTGGATGCCAGAAAGAAAACTCCCCTAAGTATCCCGAAAACATCCTCTACCTCTCTGCCATTTCTGTCTATAGGAAATTGGGCTTCATGGTAATTCACATTGTAGCAAACTTTCGTGAATATCTGTTCCGTATCAAAAAATATATGCACTAAAAATACACTTTAAAAGATCTATTGCTTTTTATTTTAATTGGATATTTATTGCAGTTTAAAGTTGATTTGGCAGTTGATTTTATTAATGAGTAGTCCCTTCAATGTAAAAGTAATAACACTTGACTTCTACTTTGGGATGTAATGTTTGAGGTAAGTTGAACAAAAGAAATTTTATGATTTTTCTTAACTATTTAAATTAGACAACAAGCAGTGTTTTTCTGTCTGTCCCTTGAGTCAGTTGTAAAACTTTCCATTCTAGCTGAAAAGAAGTTACCATTTGTGAACTTTGAAAAATATAAAACTGCCAAAGAATGAATAACTCTAGAATATAATAGCTGTTTTAATGCATTTTTCCTATAACTATATTGGAAGGGGAAAAATCATATTTACTTTGGGACATATTAATCAGCTAGGAATAACAGTTAGTACAACCCACTACAGAGAACAGTTTGGAGGTTTCTCAAAAAACTAAAAATTGAGCTACCATATGATCCAGCAATCCCACTCCTGGGCATATACTGAAAAGAAAAGGAATCAGTACATCGAAGAGATAACTGTACTCCTATGTTTGTTGCAGCATTGTTTACAATAGCTAAAATTCAGTAGAAACCTAAGTGTCCATAACAGATGAATGGCTAAAGAAAATGTGGTACATATAAACAATGGAGTACTATTCAGCCATCAAAAAGAATGAGATCCAGTCATTTGCAACAGCATGGATGGAACTGTGGAACTGGAGATCCTTATGTTAAGTGAAATAGCCCAGGCACAGAAAGACAAACATGACATGTTCTCATTTATTTGTGGGATCTAAAAGTCAAATCAATTGAACTCATGGACTTGGAGAGTAGAAAGATGGTTACCAGAGACTGGGAAGGTAGTAGGGAGTGTGAGGGAGGTGGGGGTGGTTAATGGGTATGAAAAAATGGAAAGAATGAATAAAACCTGATATCTGATAACACAATAGGTTGACTATAGTCAATAATAATTATATATTTTAAAGTAAAGAGTGTAATTGAATTGTTTGTATCTCAAAGGATAAATGCTTGGAAGGATGGATACCCCATTCACCATGATGTCATCATTTTACATTGCATGCCTGTATCGAAACATCTTATATACACCATAAATATATACACCTACTATGTACCCACAAACATTTTTTTAAATGTAAAAATTAAAAAGAGAAACTAATCAAAATCTAAGCAGAGGGACCTTGAAGAGGTATCAGAGCGATAATTTTACTAAGGAAAAATAAACAGGCAGATTTTGTCACTAAATAATCACCAGGGTACCCAAGTAAAAATTCTGCATTTTATATTTAGAAGCAAGTTGGCACAGGGCTGAAACATCAGAAATTCAGTATCCACCAGTAATTTCTTGTTATTGCTAATTCTCATTAGAGGTCTAACCACAAATTGCTATCTACCTTTGACATTTAGATCTTGTTCCTCCATGCATCTTAGTATCTTACATATGAGTTTTATTTTTCTGTAAGTACTATATCCATGTATGCAGATCTTTATTATACATTGTTTTAATATTCTCTATTTACACTGGGAATCAGGTAAAATCAGTTTGTTACTTTGCTGTTATTTAGAAGTGAGGTCTAGAAGTCAGAGAGTTTCTTAAAAAGTTTTAGTATGTAGCTTTGGTAATATGAGCCAAGCTGACATCTACAAGAGCACAAAATAAATATCTATTATATGCACAAATGACAACATAATAGTAAAGTTGACCGTATTATGAACATTAGTTCACAATCTTAGCATGTATTTTTTTTTCTTCAACTTTATTTTAAGTTCAGGAGTATATTGCAGGATGTGCAGGTTTGTTACATAGGAAAACGTGTCCCATGGTGGTTTGCTGCACAGATCATCAGATCACCTAGGTATTAATCCCAGCATCGATTAGGTATTTTTCTGGTGCCCTCCCTCCCCTTCCCCCTACCACGACAGGCCCCAGTATGTTGTTTTCCCCCACGTGTCCATAATTGTGGTCCCATAATTCAGCTCCCACTTATACATGAGAACGTGTGGTGTTTGATTTTCTGTTCCTGTGTTAATTTGCTGGGAATGATGGCTTCTAGCTTCATCCATAAAAGACAAGATCTCATTCCTTTTTATGGCTGCATAGTATTCCATGGTGTATATGTACCACATTTCCTTTATCCGGTCTATCATTGATGGGCATTTGGGTTGATTCCATGTCTTTGGTATTGTGAATAGTGCTGCAATGAACAGAGGCATGCATGTATCTTTATAAGAGAATAATTTATATCCCTTTGGGTATATATCCAGTAATGGGATTGTTGGGTTAAATGGTATTTCCACCTCTAGGTCTTTGAGGAATCACCACACTGTCTTCCACAATAGTTGAACTAATTTACACTCACACCAACAGTGTAAAAGCATTCCTTTTTCTCCACAATTTTACCAGCATCTGTTGTTTTTTGAATTTTTAATAATAGCCATTCTGGATGACATGAGATGGTATCTCACTGTGGCTTTGACTTGCCTTTCTCTAATGATCAGTGATGTTGAGCTTCGTTTCATATGTTTTTTGCCTACATGTATGTCTTCTTTGGAGAAGTGTCTGTTAACGTCCTTTGCTTACTTTTTGATGGAGTTGTTTGTTTCTTTCTTGTAAATTTGTTTAAGTTCCTTGTAGACTCTGGAATTTAAGCCTTTGTCAGATGGATAGATTGCAAAAATTTTCTCCCCTTCTGTAGGTTGTCTCTGTTGATAGTTTCTTTTGCTGTGCAGAAGCTCTTTCATTTAATTAGATCCCATTTGTCAATTTTTGCTATTGTAGCCATTGCTTTTGGCATTTTCATCATGAAATCTTTGCTTGCACCTATGTCCTAAATCATACTGCCTAGATTTTCTTGTAGGGCTTGTATAGTTTTGGGTTTTATATTAAGTCTTTAATCCATACTGAGTTAACTTTTGTGTAAGGTGTAAGGAAAAAGTTCTAGTTTCAATTTTCTGCGTATGGCTAGCCAGCACTCCCAGCACCAGTTATTAAATAGGGAGTCTTTCACCATTGCTGGCTTTTGTCGATTTTGTCAAAGATCAGACAGGTGTAGTTGTGCAATCTTATTTCTGAGTTCTCTATTCTGTTCCATTAGTCTATGTGTCTGGTCTTGTACCAGCACCATGCTTTTTTGGTTACTGTAGCCTTGTAGTATAGTTTGAAGTTGGGTAGCATGATGCCTCCAGCTTTTTGATGTGAGCATTTAATGCTATAAATTTCCCTTTGGCGGTGTCCCAGAGATTCTGGTACACTGTCTCTTCATTCTCAGTAGTTTCAAAGAACTTCTTGATTTCTACCTTAATTTCATTATTTACCCACAAGACATTCAGGAGCAGGCTGTTCAATTTCCATGTAGTTGTGTGGTTTTGAGTGAATTTCATAATCTTGAGTTCTAATTTGATTGTGCTGAGAGACTGTTTATTATTATTTCAGTTCTTTTCATTTGCTGAGGAGTGTATTACTTCCTATTATGTGATCAATTTTAGAGTAAGTGCCATGTGGCAACGAGAAGAATGTATATTCTGTTGAATTTGGGTGGAGATTTCTGTAGATTTCTATTAGGTCCACTTGATCCAGAGCTGAGCTCAGGTCCTGAATATCTTTGTTAATTTTCTGTCTTGATGACATGTCTAATATTGTCAGTACATGTTAATGTCCCTCACTATTATTGTGTGGGAGGCTAAGTTTCTTTTTACATCTCTAAGCACTTGCTTTATGAACCTGGGTGTTCCTATATTGGGTTCATATATATTTAGGATAGTTAGCTTTTGAATTGAAACTTTTACCATTATGTAATGCCCTTCTTTGTCTTTTTTAAATCCATATTGGTTTAAAGTCTATTTTATTAGAGACTAGGATTGCAACCCCTGCTTTTTTCTATTTTCCATTTGCTTGGTAAATTTTCCTCCATACCTTTATTTGAGCCTATGTGTGTCTTTGCACATGAGCTGGGCCTCTTGAAGGCAGCATACCAATGGGTTTGGCTCTTTATCCATCTTGCCATTCTGTGTCTTTTAATTGGGGCATTTAGCCCATTTACATTTAAGGTTAATATTGTTATGTGTGAATTTGATCCTGCCATCATGATGCTAGCTGGTTATTTTGTAGTCTTGTTTATGTAGTTGCTTCATAGTGTCACTAGTCTGTGTACTTTAGTGTGTTTTTGTAGTGGCTGGCAATAGTTTTTCCTTTCCATATTTAGTGCTTCCTTCAGGACCTCTTACAAGGTAGGCCTGGTGGTGATGAATTCCCTTAGCCTTCGCTTGTCTGAAAAGGATCTTATTTCTCCTTCACTTACGAAATGTAGTTTGGTCAGATACAAAATTCTGGGTTGGAAATCCTTTTCTTCAAGAATGTTGAATATTAGCCCCCAATCTCTTCTGGCTTGTAGGATTTCCACTGAGAAGTCTGCTGTTAGTCTGATGGGTTTCCCTTTGTCAGTAACCTGGCCTTTCTCTCTAGCTGCCCTTTTAACATTTTTTCTTCCATTTTGATCTTGGATAATCTGATCATTATGTATCTTGGGGTTGATCTTCTCATGGAGTATTTTACTGGGGTTCTCTGGATTTCCTGAATTTAAATGTTGGCCTGTCTTGCTAGGTTGGAGAAGTTCTCCTGCATGATATCCTGAAATATGTTTTCCAAGTTGGTTCCATTCTCCCCATCTCTTTCCAGTACCCCAGTCAGTCATAGATTTGCTCTCTTTACATAATCCATATTTCTCAGAGGTTTTGTTTGTTCCTTTTCATTCTTTTTTCTCTATTTTTGTCTGCCTGTCTTATTTCAGAAAGACAGCCTTCAAGCTCTGAGATTCTATGCTCTGCTTAGTCTATTCTGCTGTCAATACTTGTGTTTGCATTGCGAAGTTCTTGTGTTGTGTTTTTCAGCCCCCTCAGGTCAGTTATGTTTCTCTCTAAACTAGCTATTCTGGCTACCAATTCCTGTGTTGTTTTATCATGATTCTTAGCTTCTTTGCATTGGGTTACAACATGCTCCTTTAGCTCAATGTGGTTTGTTATTACCCACTTCTTAAGCCTAATCCTATCAATTCAGCCGTCTCAGCTTCAGCCCAGTTCTGTGCCCTTGCTGGAGAGGTGTTGTGGTCTTTTGGAGGAGAAGAAGCACTCTGGCTTTTTGAGTTTTCAGCGTTTTTGCATTGATTCTTCCTCATATCTGTGGGCTTACCTACCTTCAATCTTTTAGGTTGCTGACCTGTGAATAAGGGTTTTGTGGGGTCTTTTTTGTTGATGTTGTTGTTTTCTGTTTGTTTGTTTGTTTTCCTTTTGACAGTCAGGCTACTTTACTGTATGGCTGCTGCAATTTGCTGGGGGTCTGCTTTAGACCCTAGTTGCCTCAGTTTCTCCCATACCTGGAAGTATCACCAGTGAAGGCCATGAAACAGCAAAGATAACAGCCAGATCCTTCCTCTGGAAGCTCCATCCCAGGGGGATACTGATCTGTTGCCAGCCTACATGCACCTGTAGGAGGAGACTGGATAACCATGTTGGCAGGTCTTACCCAGTCAGGAGGAATGAGATAAGGGATCTGCCCCTAGAAGCTGTCTGGCTGCTTTTTGGTAGAGCAGGCATGCTGCATTGAGGGGCTCTCTTCCTCATCTGGACTACCTGAATTCTCCAAAGCTGGTAGGCTGAAGGAGCTGAGTTGGCCAAACCACAAAGATGGAGGCCACCCCTTCCACTGCAAGCTCCATCACAGGGAGGGATCAGAGCTCTATTCATAGTACCCTGGCTGGAGTGGCTGGAGCCCCCTCAGAGAGGTCCTGCCCAGTGAGAAACAATGGATCAGCGTCCCACTTAAAGAAGCAGTCTGGCCACCAACTGGCAAGGCAGCTGTGCTGCATTGTTGGGGGGCCCTTCCTTATCTGGACCATCTGTATTCTCCACAGGGGGCAGGCTGGAATAGCTGAGTCTACCAAACCACAGAGATGGTGGCCACCCCTCCACCCAGGAATTCAGACTCATCTCAGGCAGACTGCAACCTGCTGCCATTGGCTAGCTGGGATTCCAAGCCAGTGGGTCTTAACTTGTGAGGTAACAGGAAGTGGGGCACACAGAACAATGCTGCTTGGCTCACTGGATTCAGCACCCTTCCTAGGGATATGTGCAGATGGATTTCCCACCTTACTGGTGATCCCAAGGCCAGAGCATGTAAAGTTCCTGGGTGTCTGTGTGTGTCTGAGTGGCTGCTCTGCTGAGACTCCACACAGCTCTGTGTGTCAGACCCAAGGCCCTGGTGGTGTGGGCTCATGAGGCGATATCCAGATCCATGAGTTGCAAAGATCCATGAGAGAAGTGCGGTTTTTCAGGTGGGGTTGCGCAATCACTCACCACTTCCCTTGGATGAGGGTGGGGCTTCCTTTGGCTCCATGCCACTCCCCCACGGGCCATCACCTTTCCCCACTTTTCTTCATTTTTTTGTGGGTCGAGTTGTTTTCCTAGTCAGTCTCAATGTGAGAACCTGGATATTTCAATTGAAGATGCTGAATTCCCTCACCCTTTCTTGTTCCTCTCCGTGAATACCGTGGACCACAGCTGCTTCTAATTAGCCATCTTGGATCGTGTTTTTTGCGACATTTTTAAAATACACCTTTGTAAACTGTTACTTGTTCTTCTCTCACTGTTTAAATTTATGGAAACAACTAAAGCATGTTTCACGAGGAAAACTTCAACAAGTCTGACATATATTTTGATATTATTAATGAGGAATATTCAACAAGAAATGCTAATAAGACAGACCTCAGTATAAAGTGGCACTGTTCCCACTATACAGATAACACATTTTTCCTAGCTATCGGTAGTGTCAATGGCAGTAATAACAGATTCATACTGCCTGATTCCTTTCTCTCTGAAATCATTTAGAGAAGTTAAACTTAATTTTATGTAAAAATGTAAAATTTTCCAATATTTATTTTTGGGGTATTTTTTAAACTTTATTGAGCATAATTGACAAAATTGTTTATAATAAAGTGCACAGCCTGATGATTTGATATATGTGTACATTGTGTGACTGTTACGTCAAGTTAATTAACACATTCATCACTGAAAATAGTTATCCTTTTTTTTTCTTTTTGATGAGAACACTTGACATCTACTCTCTTAGTAAATGTCCAGTCTGCAAAACACTGTAGTCACTATGCGGTATTTTAGAGCTTCAGAACTTATTCATCTGAATATTCAACTGAACATTTATATCCTTTAACCAATGTCTCCCCATTTTCCACACTCTGGCTCCTGGCATCCACCATCCTATTCTGTTTCTCTAAGTACAACATTATATTTTCTTTTTAGATTCCATACGTAAATGGAATCATGCAGTATTTTTCTTTCTTTGACTGACTTAAATAAGCCATGTCCTCCAAGTTCATTCAAGTTGCTGCAAATGGTAGGTTTTCCTTTTTTTAATTGCTGAATAATATTCCATTGCATACTACATTTTCTTTCTTTCTTCATTCATTCATTCATTCATTCATCAACTGACATGTTGTTTCCATATCTTGGCTATTGTGAATGCTGCAATAAACATAAGCATGCAGCTATCTCTCTGAGACACTGATTTCATTTCCTTTGGATATATACTCTGAAGAGGGGTTGTTGAATCATATAGTAGTTCTATTTTTTAATTTTTTTGAGGAAACTCCATATTGTTTTTTCATAACAGCTGTACCAATTTATATCCCCAACAGCAGTGTGCAAGTGTTCTCTTTCCTCTACATCCTCACCAATACTTGTTATCTTTTCAAATTTGATAATGACCATCTAAATAGGTGTGAAGTAATATCTGCTTGTGATTTTAATTTGCATTTCCCTGATGATTAGTGATGCTGAGCACCTTTCCTTGGCCATTTGTATATATTCTTTGGGAAAATGTCTATTCTTTTACCCATTTTTAAATTGTATTATTTGGTTTTTGTTTACTCTTGAGTTGTGTTTCTTATATATTTTAGATATTAACCCCCTACGAGATAAACATTTTCTTTCATTCTTTAGGTTGCCTCTTCATTTTATTGTTTGTTTCCTTTGCTGTGTATAAGCTTTTTAGTTTAATGCAATTCCACTTGTTTATTTTTGCTTTTGTTGTTGTACTTTTGGTGTCATAAAAAAAATCATTACCAAAACCAATGTCAAGGAACTTTTCCCTGATGTTTTCTTCTAGGAGTTTTTGGTGTCAGTTTGTGTTTTTTCACTTTGTTTGTTTGTTGTTGTTGTTGTTTGAGATGGAGTCTTGATCTGTCTCCTACGCTGGAGTGCAGTGGCGCAATCTCAGCTCACTACAAACTCCACCTCCCAGGTTCAAGCGATTCTCCCACCTCAGCCTCCCGAATAGCTGGGATTACAGGCACCCCCCATCATGCCTGGCTAATTTTTGTATTTTTGTAGAGACAGGCTTTCACCATGTTGGCCAGGCTGGTCTTGAACTCCTGATCTCAGGTGATCCACCTGCCTCGGCCTCCCAAAGTGCTGAGATTACAGGCATGAGCCACCACACCTGGCCAGGTTTCAGGTCTTATACTGAAGTCTTTATTTCAAGTTAATTTTTGTAAGTGGTGTAGGGGTGCACTTTTATTTTGAGGGTCTTGCTATCCAGTTTCCCCAACACAGTTTGTTGAAGAGACAATCCTTTTGCCATTGTGTGTTCTTGGTGCTCTCGTCTAAGATTAGTTGACTCTATACATGTGGATTTATTTCTGGGTTCTGTATTCTGTTCTATCAGTTTATATGTCTGTTTTTATACCAGCACCATATTGTTTTGTTTACTATAGTTTTGCAATATACTTTGAAATCATAAAATGTGATGCCCCAAGCTTTGTCATTACAGGCCAATATCCTTGATGAACACAAATGCAAAAATCTTCAACAAAATACTAACAACTCAAATTTAACAGCACATTATAATGATCATACACCATAATCAAATGGAAATTATCCCTGAGGTGCAAGAACAGTTCAACATACACAAATCAATAAATGAGATACACTATATTAACAGAATGAAGGATAAAAATTATAGAATCATCTCAACAGATGCAGAAAAACAATTTGACAAGCTTTACCAAATTAGGTAAAGAAAAAATATACCTCAACATAATGAATGTCAAATATGACAAGCTAACAGATAACATCATACTCCAGTGAAAAGCTGAAATCTTTTCTGTTAAGATCAGGAGCAAGGATGTCCACTCTTGCCCCTGCTAGTCAACATAGTACTGGAAATCCTAGCCAGGGCAATGAGGCAAGAGAAAGAAATAAAAGGCTTCCAAATTGAAAAGAAGAAGTAAAATTGTCTCTATTGGAAGATGACATAATCTTATATACACAACACTCTAAAAACTCTGCCAAAAAAAAATTACTAGAATGAATAAACGAATTCAGTAAAGTCACAGGGTACAAAATCAACAGGGAAAGATCAGATGCATTTCTATACACTAACAATGAACTCTCAAAAGGAGAAATTTTAAAAGCAATACCATTTACAGTTGGGTATTAGTCTCTTCTCATTCTGGTAATATAGACATACCTGAGATTAGGTAATTTATAAAGGAAAAGGTTTAATTGACTCACAGTTCAGCATGTCAAGGACTCAGGAAACTTACAATCATGGCAGAAGAGGAAGCAAACACATCCTTCTTCACATGGCAGCAGCAAGGAGAAGTGCCTATGAAAAGGGGGAAAAGCCCTTATAAAACCATCAGATCTCGTGAGAACTCACTCACTATCATGAGAACAGCATGAAGGTAACCACCCCCATTATTAAATTACCTCCCACCAGGTCTCTCCCATGACACATGGGGATTATGGGAGCTACAGTTCAAGATGAGATTTAGGTGGGGACACAGCCAAACCATGTCATTCCACCCCGGCCCCTTCCAAATCTCATGTCCTTATGTTTCAAAACAAAATCACACCCTTCCAACAGTCCTCCAATGCCTTAACTTATTCCTGTATTAAACCAAAAGTCCATGTCCAAAAGTCTTGTCTGAGACAAGGCAAGCCCCTTCTGCCTATGAGCCTGTAAAATCAAAAGCAAGTTAGTTACTACCTACATACAATGAGTCAACAGGTATTGGGTAAATACATCCATTCCAAATGGGAGAAGTTGGCTAAGACAAAGGGGCTACAGGCCCCATGCAAGTCCAAAATCCAGTGGGGCAGTCAAATCTTAAAGTTCTAAAATGATCTTTGAATCCAAGTCTCACATACAAGGTGTGCTGATGCAAGAGGTGAGCTCTCAATGCCTTGGGCAGCTCCATCCCTGTGGCTTTGCAGGGTACAGCCCACCATCCTGGCTGCAATCACAGGATGGCAATGAGTGTCTGTGGGTTTTCCAGGTGCATGATGCAAGCTGTCAGTGGATCTACTATTCTGGGATCTGGAAGACTGTGGCCCTGTTCTCACAGCTCCAGTAGGCAATACCCCAGTGGAGACTCTTTTTGGGGCCTCTTACCCCACATTTCACTTCTGCACTGCACTAGCAGAGGTTCTCCATGAGAACTCCATCCCTGCAACACACCTGTGCCTGGATATCCAGGCATTTACATATATCTTTTAAAATCTAGATAGAAGTTCCCAAACCTCAATTCTTGGCTTCTGTGCACCTGCAGGCCTAACATTATGTGTAAGCTGCCAACCCTTGGGGCTTGCATCCTCCAAAGTAACAGCCTGAGCTATATATTGGCCCCTTTTAATCATGGCTGGGACACAGGGCATCAAGTCCCAAGACTACACAAAGCAGCAAGGCCTTGGGTCCAGCCAAAAAAAAAACATTTTTCCCCCTAAGCCTCTAGGCCTGTGATGGGAGGGGCTACTGTGAAGACCTCTGACATGTCCTGGAGACATTTTCTCCATTGTCATGGCAATTAACATTTGGCTCCCTTTTTACTTATGCAAATTCCTGCTGCCAGCTTGAATTTCTTATCAGAAAATGGGTTTTTCTTTTCTATAGCATCATCAGGCTGCAAATTTTCTGAACTTTTATGTTTTGCTTCCCTTTTCAACATAAGTTCCAATTCCAAACCATATCTTTGTGAATACATAAAACTTAATGCTTTTAACAGCACCCACATCACCTCTTGAATGATTTACTACTTACAGATTTCTTTTCCTGGATACCCTAAATCATCTCTTTCAAGTTCAGAGTTTCACAGATCTCTAAGGTAGGGGCAAAATGCCACCAGTCTGTTTGCTAGAGCATAGCAAAAGTCACCTTTATTTTACTTCCCAACAAATTCCCCATTTCCATCTGAGATCACCTCAGCCTGGACTTCATTGTCCATACCACTATCAGCATTTTGGTCAAAGCCATTCACCAAGTCTCTAGGAAGTTTCAAACTTTCCCACCTCTTTCTGTCTTCTTCTGAGCCCTCCAAGCTTTTCCAGCCTCTGCCTGTTACCCATTTCCAAAATCGCTTCCACATTTTCAGTTATTTTTACAGTAGCACCCCACTCCTGGTACCAATTTACTGTATTAGTCTGTTCTCACACTGCGAATAAGGACGTACCAGAGACTGGGTCATTTGTAAAGGAAAAATATTTAATCAACTCACAGTTCAGCATGGCTGGAGAAGCCTCAGGAAACTTACAATCATGGCAGAAGTAGAAGCGAACATGTCCTTCTTCACATGGTAACAGCAAGGTGAAGTGCCAAGCGAAACAAGGAAAAGCCCCTTATAAAACCATCAGATCTTGTGAGAACTCACTCACCATCACAAGAACAACATGAGGGTAACCAACCTCATGATTAAGTTACCTCCCACTGGGTCCCTCCCACATCATGTAGGGATTATGGGAACTACAATTCAAGATGAGATTTGTCTGGGGACACAGCCAAACCATATCAAGCAACATCAAAATTAATAAATTTAGGGGCAAATTTAACCAAGGGAGATGAAAGATCTCTACACTGAAAACTATAATGCATCAGTGAAAGAAATTAAAGAAGACATTAATAGATATCCTGTGTTCTTAAATTGAAAGAATTAATATTGTTAAAATGTCCATACCATCCAAAGCAATCTATGGATTCAGTGCAATTCCTATCAAAATGCCAATGTTACTTTTCACAGAAATATAAAAAAGAATTCTAAAATTCATATGGAACCACCAAGGACCCAGACTAGCCAATGCAAACTTGAGAAACACTGTTTTGTTAGCAGGTCTATTATATAGTTATCAGAGTCTTGCCTAAGACTTGTTATTTATATTGCAAGGTTTTATCCAGCTCTTCAGCTAGAAAGAATGCATGTCGTGTTAACATGATGGTGCTATGTTATATTAATGAACAATATCATTTCTTATTTGAAACCTTAGTTATTATGGCTGCATGAAGATCAAGATCACTTAGGAAGAAAACCATGATGTAACATTACACTATTGAGCATCACAGTCTTTGAATTAAAATAATACTTTTACATTATCTTTTCTATTTGAAAATGCTCCTGCTAAAGTGTGGGGTTTTCTTTCCAGATTTTCCTCCATCAGCAGGACTTACATGTGCTTTGTTTAGAGAGCTGACAGGTTGTACTAGAGCATACTACAGCTGTGCCTCTCTGGCCTAGCAACATGTGGTGTCAGATGATCTTTAATGACTAGGGTACGGGCTTCAACCCTTAGAATCTTTAGGAACAGCAGACAGCTCTTGAAAACAGGAGACACACATAAGGGCAGAGCTGAAGGAAACTGCTAGCGTTTAGTTTAAATGGTGCCAAACCTTACTATCATTTGTGGGTCACTGAGTTTTTTATCTTTTTACAGCTGTTTTTGAGTATCAGTGACAGATAATTTGTAATAGCATTAACATTTTAACAATGCGTGAAAAAAGGAAGTATTTTCTTTACTTTTGCATTCAGTAATTTAATGTACATTCAGCTCTTTAAAAGAACAGAGGATAAACTTAAAGTTATTGGAACTAGAGGAAAGTTATGACAATCCTTTATTTTAATGACTTATAATGGAAGTGGGAGATAATATAAAAGACAATGCATGAGAAAGCTGAATATGGAATAATAATAGAAATTACAGTGGTTAAGAAGATTGTTTTTAATTTATCCTGTTTGACAGAGTAAGTTACATTTGAGAGCACACAAGAGTAGAAAAGTTCATTCATACAAACACTGTGTATCACACAATGTATTATTTTTGTATGTCAAGCATGCAGGTGGGCCCTTGAAAATTCCATTTTTGACTTCTTTTTTTTCCTTTTTATTCACAGCCAAAATAACAATTAGAGGCCATGTACATTAGATGTGCAATTCCCAGCTCTGGCTTTGTTGACAGCAGACATTAGGTAGAGTGGAGTGTCTTCTAGACACACTTGTGAGTTAAACTTAATTTATAGAGGAGGGACCAATTAAGAGACTTGACAATGAAGTCATTTTTACAATTTATGAAACCTGATTTCTTTGTCCCAGCTTAAGATGAATTGACTCTCCATTGATGTTTCTTTATATCTATTTCTTAATAAAAGATCTTGTTCAATTAATAAAATTCTTTAAACAACTATTATTTATCACTTTAAGAAGTTAAACATTGGCTTACAAGAGAAAGGAAGTCTATTAAAACCATACATTTGGTTTTCTCTAATTTTTAGAAGCCCACATTTTGTCAGTTGAAAGTGTCCCCAAAACAGCAGGGGTTTGGTCTAGGTTCTGCTACTCACTGCACAGAAAGCCAATGACTGAGATGACAAGTATTACCAAGGAAGAAGGAAGAAGGCTTTAATTGGGTGCTGCAGCCAAGGAGATGGGAGCTCAGTCTTAAATCCCTCTCCTTGACTGTCTAAAATTAGGTTTTTATATAGTGGGGAAGAAATGTAACAATGTATTAGAAGACAGGAACTATAGAGGGGCAAGGAAACAATCATGATGAATGAGGGATCTGGCATCTCATTATCTGGATGCCCTGATCTGGTGAGTTTCAGTTCTTTGATTTTTTTTTTTTTCTGAGAGGCCTGAACATCATTTCCTGAGGAAGGAATGCAGATAAAACAAATATAAGTTTCAAGCTTTAAGACCAGAAGGATCAATATCTATGTTTACCCAAAAACAACTGTCTATGGGACTATTGGGTCAGTTTCAAGAGAATGAATTTCAAGAGAAAGAATATTTGATGCTTTTGGAGGCAAAATTAACTTATTCAGAATACTATTTCCTAGAATATAAAGAGATGTGTTATTCAACTAAAGAATAGTTTGTGTTCTCACTCATAAGTGGGAGTTGAACAATGAGAACGCATGGACACAGGCAGGGGAACATCACACACCGGGACCTGTCGGGGGTGGGGGCTGGGGGAGGGATAGCATTAGGAGAAATGCCTAATGTAAATGACGAGTTGATGGGTGCAGCAAACCAACACGGCACATGTATACCTATGTAACATACCTGCACGTTGTGCACATGTACCCCAGAACTTAAAGTAAAATTTAAAAAATAAATAAAATAAAATAATAAAATTGCCTTTCAAAAAACAAAAAAAGAAATATTGAAAAGCTACCCGGTATTTTAACGGGCACGTATTTTTAAAATAAATTTTATTGCATAAAAAAAAGAATAGTTTGTTGGGTGAAAGGGAATTAATTTTATTTTATTATTTTTAAATTCTACTTTAAGTTCCAGGATACATGTGCAGACCGTGCAGGTTTGTCATATAGCTATACATGTGCCATGGTGGTTTGCTGCACCTATCAGCCTGTCATCTGGCTTTTAAGCCCCGCATGTATTAAATATTTGTCCTAATGCTCTCCTTCTCCTCAACCCCCACCCCCCACCCCCCGACTGGCCCCAATGTGTGTTGTTCCCATTTCTGTGTCCATGTGTTCTGATTGTTCAACCCCCACTTATGAGTAAGAACATGCGGTGTTTGGTTTTCTGTTCCTGTGTTAGTTTGCTGAGGATGATGGCTTCCAGCTTCATCCAAGGAGAGACGTTGGAAGGGACCTATTTAGTGTCATTCTTTTCTCCCCTTTTTTTGTCTGTTACCAGTGTGTAGTTGTTGGGATGGTGTGAACAGGCTGTATGACTGAGAATGCTGTAAGACAGGGGTCCCCAAACCGTGGGCCATGGACCGGTACCTATCCATGGCCTGTTAGGAACCAGGCTGCACAGCAGGAGGTGAGCAGTGGCAAGCGCGCATTACCGCCTGAACTTCACCTCCTGTCAGATCAGCAGCGTCATTAGATTCTCACAGGAGCTCAAACCCTATTGTGAACTGCTCAAAGGATCTAGATTGTGCACTTCTTATGAGAAATCTAGCTAATGCCTAATTATCTGAGGTGGAATAGTTTCATCCTGAAACCATTATCCACCCACCCACCCCCACTCTCCAACCATGGAAAATTGTCTTCTACGAAACCAGTCCCTGGTGCCAAAAAGGTTGGGGACCACTGTGGTAGGAGAAGGAGATAAGCAGAAATATTTCCTTGTTTCCAACTGAGCGTTCAACCTTCCCAGAGAGCTGACAAAGTAGAAAAAAGGAAGACCCCCCTAGCAACATCACATGAGTACAATTTTTAAATTTAAGTGTACTTTATTCTGTTGTCTCTATTTATACAGATTAATATTTAACTTTTTAATAACTATATTAGCAGGAACAACTTAGTTGTACAACAAATCTCTTAAAATAATACTGCTTGTTATAATTTAAAGAGCATCTTTATATTCTCTTCTTTCATTAACAAGGCTGAAAGGAAATATTACTCTGATTTTAGTGATGAGAAATTTATACTCAGAGATTTAGCCTTTTCACCCAGCTAATAAAGGGTAATGCCAGAACTTGAACAATGTCTTCTGAATGCGATCCATTTGCTTTTGTTTCACGTCTGGTTCTATAAAGTGAATTGCAGTTTTGAGTAGTGCAGTGAATTGAAAAGCAAGCCTTCAAATATGAGTTGATTTTTAAGAATCAACTCTTCACTGTAATAGAAAATCTTCACACTTATTTTTTAAAATTTGATTACACAACATAGTAGGTTTTTTTTCTGCAGAGTGGATTTAGGATGAAAGGTTAAGTTTTCTTTATATTTCCTTCTGTGCTGTTTTAATATTTTTTTCAATAGGTTCACACTGTTAAGTACTTATATTCAAACAATAAAATAACAATAGAAATATTTCAGATTTGTAAATAGTCTTTTTCTCTCCCAAAATACCACCACATTTGTAATTTTTTCTTTAGTTTGTTATCCTGTCTCACAGTTAAAGTGACTGAGTCACAAGCAAATAAAGAGTGTTGGCCAACGTCTCATGGCTAGTTTGTGTACACCACAAATCTCAGGTTCCTGATTTTAGGCTAGAGCTCTTTGGACAGCAAAAGTGATTTATTTATTTTTCTTTCAAATATCCCCTCTTTTAGTCTTAGCTTAATTTTTCTGAGGCTAATAAGACTTTATAATAATGTATTTCAGGTATGCTTAACCATTTATCATTACATGTTACAGAATGACCTGATGACATGAAAAGTGTGCATGTATCTTTTAAGAAGTTTTTTCAACTCCAGAAGAACTTATCAATTTGGAAATGTCTAATTCACCATGCCACATTGAAATATTGCAATAAAACATTGTGATTTATAACACCATATTGTTATAAATCTAAAAATGGGTGACTTAGTTTAGTCATATTTTGTAGGTTCAAATGCAACATATATGTATAACATGGAATTATTAAATGTTAATGTTGGTAGACGTCAATTCAACTTAGAACTAAAAAAAGGCACGTCTTAATTTCTCTTAGAAAGTCCGAAATCTTACTTTTAGCAATGAAGTTTCACATCCTAATTGAAATATAAACAGAAAAGATGTGTGTTTTCTTTCCCAGCTCTTTTCCATTTGCATGATTATAGATTCTGACAGACGCAAAATATTTATGTATTCAGTGATACCTCTTTTAATTAAAACACTATACAGTATGAGGGTATAATACCAGACCTCTCATTATTACCCAAAGGAATGTAGTTGGTATAAAAAATAGTTGGTTAAAAAGTGATTACCTCAGAAAGGGTGGCTTAATTATATGAGCATTTGCTTGACTCTGGAGAATACTTTGCAAGCCCAAGGACAACATTTACAAGTATAACCACATGTCACAGCAACTTTTCTTGTACCAATTTACACTATAAAATTAGTATCCAAACAAGTCTTTGCTCACTTTATGTGGATTACTTGGAAAATAGTGTCTTGTTAGATTAAAAAAAAAAGTGATTGTTTAAAAAAGTAGCATCACATTAGTAAAATTCAAGATATTGTTTAGAATTTACTAAGCGTCAAGGTAGTGAAGATGATCAAAGAAGGATCATCATAGGCTAGACATGGTGGCTCACACCAGTAATGCCAACACTTTGGGAGTCTGAAGGTGGGAGGGTCACTTGAGCCCAGGAGTTTAGAACAGCCTGGGCAACATAGCGAGACTCCTTCTCTACAAAAAATAAAAAATTACCAGGGCGTGGTGGTATGCTCCTGTGTCCCAACTACTCGGGAGCCTGAAGTGGAAGGATCACTTGAGCTTAGGTGGCTGAGGCTGCAGTGAGCAGTGACTGTGCCACTGCACTGCAGCCTGGGTGACTGAGTCGCCCTTGTCTCAAAAAAAAAAAAAAAGGAAAAAAGAAAAAAGCAAAAGCAAAGGGGATCATCGTGTTTGGCAGCATGGCTTGGTGGAGAGTGCGGCCTAGAATCCTGATTCTGCCAGTTCTTTTTATGTGACTTGGGTAATTTATTGAATCCCACTAAGGTTCAGCTTCCTCATTTGTAAAATAAGTATAATAATGTGTCCGGAATTGGTTCTTTCCGGTGGGTTCTTGGTCTCGCTGACTTCAAGAAGTTGCAGACCATCACAGTGAGTGTTACAGCTCATAAAGGCAGCGTATCCAGAGTTGTTCGTTCCTCCTGGTGGGTTCACAATCTCGCTGGCTTCACGAATGAAGCCGCAGACCTTCACAGTGAGTGTTACAGCTCTTTAAGGCAGTGCGGACCCAAAAAGTGAGCAGCAGCAAAATTTACTGCACAGAGTGAAAGAACAAAGCTTCCACCACGTGGAAGGGGACCTGAGCGGGTTGCCACTTCTGGCGAGGGTGGCCTGCTTTTATTCCCTTATTTGGCCCCACCCACATCCTGCTGATTGGTCCATTTTACAGAGAGCTGATTGGTCCATTTTACAGAATGCTGATTGGTCCATTTTGACAGCGTGCTGATTGGTGTATTTACAATCCTTTAGCTAGATAGAAAAGTTCTCCAAGTCCCCTACCCGATTAGTTAGACACAGAGCCCTGATTGGTGCGTGTACAAACCTTTAACTAGACACAGAATGCTGATTGGTGTGTTTACAATCTTTTACCTAGACAGAAAAGTTCTCCAAGTCTCCACCCAACCCAGAAGCCCAGCCACTTCACCTCTCAATAATACCTCTCTTACTTGGCTTTAATGAAAATTAGCAATAAGATAAAAGTTCGTAGTGCAGCACCTCATAGTGCAGCCGCTCCTAGGCACTGAATAAAGTTAGTTCTGATGATTATTCTGCCTTTCGAAAACATCAGGTGCAATAAAAAATGATGCAACAGGAAAATATTCAGGTTCCGCATCTAAAAATTAAGATATAGTGATACCTACCTTACTGAAATATGGTGATATGGTGAAGCACCTAACACAATGCTGGACCTCATAAGCTTTCAATGATTGTTCGTTCCTTTCAGATTTTCAATGAGCTATAAAGACAAAATGCAAATGAAATTGAAAGGCATTGTCAACCATAGCGTCATGCAGATGCTACTTAATATAACTTTAAAATACATAGAAATTTTAATAAGTTTGTTCCCTTAGGAAAATAGCTAAGGAAAAATGCATAATTACCTGCTCTTTACTTATTTTCACTATTTAATAAAGCATTACAGGAATGGTAAGAGATGTATAGCTCAAGTAAGCAAAGAAAGCTTTCTTTTCTTTTTGATTTTGCACTTGGGGAATTTTTCTTGATCTTCTTCTTCAAAAGGAGCAGAGAATTCATTTATGTGCACCTGGGGTCCTGATTATTACAAAAAAAAAAGAAGAAACTGAACAACTTTGCATACTTTAGTAAAACAAAATAATTCAATTAAGCTTATTCAGGGCATCTTGGTGTTTTAGCAAAGTTGAAAAGGACACTTGACTCTTGTTAAGGGGAGCTCTGTAGACATTTATGTCTGGGGGAATATGTTACTCAGTTTGCAGCATGATAATAAGCTCTAAACCAGGGAACTATATCAGTTGCATAGACAATGAATCCAGTCTGGAAGATAAATTGTTCACTGAGGGTAAGGTGGCTGAATTTCTGATATAAGTGGCCATATAATCATGAGAGCTTTACCTCTAATAAAAACATAGCTTTTGGTTCTTAAAAAACAGTCACCTTATCTTTAATGAGCAATTTGACTTTTAGGCTTAATGCATTAGTCTCTTAAGTGACAAATTTTTGCCTGTGCTAACAACTAGTTGGCAGAATTTTGACAGTGAACAGAAGCTGTCAGACAAACCCATAATATTTCCTCCAGTAGCTGATCTGTTCAGTTTTAAGCATTGAAAGCTTATGTAAAACATGGAGAGAACTTGTTTTATGGTTTCTGGGATAATTTTTTTTATATTGCTTGATAAGCTCTAAATGAACAAGTATCTACATGTAAGACATACTTTAGAAATAAAACTACCTGAAATGGTGGTTGCCAGCATTTGAGAGTTGGGGTATTGGGGAGATGTTTGTCAAAGGACACAAAATTTTAATTAGATACAAAAAATAAGTTCAAGAAAACTATTGTGCATCATGGTGACTATAGTTAATAACAACATACTTGAAAATTGCTGAACTAGTTTACAGTCCCACCAACAGTGTAAAAGTGTTCCTATTTCTCCACATCCTCTCCAGCACCTGTTGTTTCCTGACTTTTTAATGATTGCCATTCTAACTGGTGTGAGATGGTATCTCATTGTGGTTTTGATTTGCATTTCTCTGATGGCCAGTGAAGATGAGCATTTTTTCATGTGTTTTTTGGCTGCATAAATGTCTTCTTTTGAGAAGTGTCTGTTCATGTCCTTCGCCCACTTTTTGATGGGGTTGTTTGTTTTTTTCTTGTAAATTTGTTTGAGTTCATTGTAGATTCTGGATATTAGCCCTTTGTCAGATGAGTAGGTTGCGAAAATTTTCTCCCATTTTGTAGGTTGCCTGTTCACTCTGATGGTAGTTTCTTTTGCTGTGCAGAAGCTCTTTAGTTTAATTAGATCCCATTTGTCAATTTTGTCTTTTGTTGCCATTGCTTTTGGTGTTTTGGACATGAAGCCCTTGCCCATGCCTACATCCTGAATGGTAATGCCTAGGTTTTCTTCTAGGGTTTTTATGGTTTTAGGTCTAACGTTTAAGTCTTTAATCCATCTTGAATTGATTTTTGTATAAGGTGTAAGGAAGGGATCCAGTTTCAGCTTTCTACATATGGCTAGCCAGTTTTCCCAGCACCATTTATTAAATAGGGAATCCTTTCCCCATTGCTTGTTTTTCTCAGGTTTGTCAAAGATCAGATGGTTGTAGATATGCGGCGTTATTTCTGAGGGCTCTGTTCTGTTCCATTGATCTATGGTACCAGTACCATGCTGTTTTGGTTACTGTAGCCTTGTAGTATAGTTCAACCATTGTGGAAGTCAGTGTGGCGATTCCTCATGGATCTAGAACTAGAAATACCATTTGACCCAGCCATCCCATTACTGGGTATATACCCAAAGGACTATAAATCATGCTGCTATAAAAACACATGCACACGTATGTTTATTGTGGCATTATTCACAATAGCAAAGACTTGGAACCAACCCAAATGTCCAACAATGATAGACTGGATTAAGAAAATGTGGCACAAATACACCATGGAATACTATGCAGCCATAAAAAATGATGAGTTCATGTCCTTTGTAGGGACATGGATGAAATTGGAAATCATCATTCTCAGTAAACTATCGCAAGAACAGAAAACCAAACACCGCATATTCTCACTCATAGGTGGGAATTGAACAATGAGATCACATGGACACAGGAAGGGGAATATCACACTCTGGGGACTGTGGTGGGGTGGGGGGAGGGGGGAGGGATAGCATTGGGAGATATAACTAATGCTAGATGATGAGTTAGTGGGTGCAGCGCACCAGCATGGCACATGTATAGATATGTAACTAACCTGCACATTGTGCACATGTACCCTAAAACTTAAAGTATAATAAAAAAAAAAAATTAAAAAAAAAAAAAAGAAAATTGCTGGTGACAGATTTTAAGTGTTCTCACCACACAAAAAATGATAAGTATGTGAGCTAATGTGTGTTAAATAGCTTGATTTAGCCATTTCATAATGTATACATACAGAAAAACCATATTGCACACCATAAGTATATACAACTTTTTTTTTTTTTTTTTTTGAGACAGAGTCTCACTCTGTCGCCCAGGCTGGAGTGCAGTGGCAGGATCTCGGCTCATTGCAACCTCTGCCTCCTGGGTTCAAGCAATTCTCCTGCCTCAGACTCCCAAGTAGCTGGGATTATAGGTGCCCGCCACCATGCCTGGCTAATTTTTGTATGTTTAGTAGAGATGATGTTTCACCATGTTGGCCAGGCTGGTCTCGAACTCCTGACCTCAGGTGATCCACCCGCCTTGGCCTCCCAAAGTGCTGGGATTACAGGTGTGAGCCACCATGCCCAGCCTACAACTTTTACTTGTCAATTAAAAAGTAAATTTAACAAAAGGAAAAGTAAAATTAACAGGCATTTTGCAAAACCTTTATATTGGGTTTATTTCACATTTGTATCAGTTCTTTATTCTGTTTTACAGTAGGAGAAAACTTTTTATAAATCTGGAAAAAAATTTTTTTTATATAATAGCAAAGCTTTAAGAATGTTAAAATGTAAATGGATGACTGATTAACTGTATATCAGTCTCAGCCAGTTATCCATGATTTATTTTTATTAATTGTAGATAAATCTCACCATTATCTATACATGATTTACTTAGATATTTATATATTAATTATCTTGAGAAATATATAAAAGCTCTCATTAAAGAAAAATCATCAATTTTGTGTTAAGTGACAGTGAGTGCAAAGTATAGAGACTGTTAGAAATTGATAACCTTTGTGGTGCACCATAAATGGGATTAGCAGTGTCAGTGGTGTGGTTGTGACTGTTTTGTAAGTGGTCAGGGTTTGCTCATTGAGAAGGTAGAATATGGAGCCCACATTTAATGTGGTAAGGGATTTTGTCAAGTAAATATCCAGGGGAATAATCTTCCTGCAGAGGGAATAATTAAGAGTTATATAAAAACATTACAGGTATGTTCAAGGAATCGTAAGGTGTTCAGTGTGGCTAAAGCAACTTGAACTAGGGGGCAGTGATAGGAGAGGAAATGACAGGGAAGATGGTGGTGGCAAGGGAGATATTTGGAAAGGCCTTATAAGAAGCTACAATGGCCTGATTCCAAGTAAAACATGGAGACATGGCAGGCCTTTGCCTAGAGGCGTGAAATAATTTTACTTGGGTTTCTTTTTCTTTTCTTTTTTTTTTTTGAGACACTTTCACTCTTGTTGCCCAGGCTGGAGTGCAATGGCCCGATCTCGGCTCACTGCAACCTCCACCTCCCGGGCTCAATTGATTCTCCTGCCTCAGCCTCCCAAGTAGCTGGGACTACAGGCTCGTGCCACCATGCCCGGCTAATTTTGTATTTTTAGTAGAGATGGGGTTTCTCCATGTTGGTCAGGCTGGTCTCTCACTCCTGAACTCAGGTGATCCGCCTGCCTCGGCCGCCCAAAGTGCTGGAATTACAGGCATGAGCCGCCACGCCTGGCCTTTTACTTGAGTTTTAATAGGATCGCTCTTGCTGCTATTGAGGATAGTACATATGGGGTAATGATGCAAGCAGAGACCTACTGTAGTACTCTTCAGGAGAGAATGGTGGCTTGCACAAGGATGGAAGCAATGAAGGTGGTGAAAAGTGGTCAGTTTCTATATTTATTAGGAAACACCTAGGATGATATCTTAATAGACCAAAATGTGAAATGTAAGAAAAATAGAGATGTCAAGATGACACAAAGATTTTTGGCTTTGACAACTGAAAGAATAGTTACTATCAACTGTGATTGGTAACAATGCACATGGATCAGGAGTTCAGTTTTGGACGTCTTAATCTTAAGATGTCAATTAGATATCTATGTAGAGATGCTGAATGGGCAGTTGGATATAGGAAATTGGAGTTTGGGAGAGTGGTCCTGGCTGGAGATATAAACTTGGTAGTTGACAGCATATGGTTGTTATTTAAAGACATGAGACTGGTTATCACCAAAGAAATGAGTGTGTAGATACAAAAGGGAAGAAACCTTAGAGACCTCCAGCTTTTGGAGATCTAGGAGAAGGGAAGAAACTAGTCAAGGGGACTCAGGAATGGCTGTAAAAGTAAGAGGAAAACCTGAGTGTGTGGTATCCAGGGAGCCAGGTGAAGAAAGCTATCAAGCAGGGGGAAAGGATCAACTGGGTTAAATGCTGTTGATAGCATCAAGTAAGATGAGGAAATTGATCATTGATAAGGTAGTTTACTGACTTGTGAGAACAACATCAATATCCAAATGAAAGAAGACACTTAAATGCTATCAATAATAGACAGCTTAAGACTGGGAGTCACAATCTTATGGCCCACTGCCCACATGTAGACAGAGATGGGCTTTGAGAGGCAGTCTTTAGGAAAAAAAAAATTGATTGTGAAGGCTATTGGGAGATATGTACTCTCTTATTAGCCATAGACCCATCGTGTCATATTATTTTATATTTGAGGGTCTTTACATATTTATTATTTTCTTTTCGTTGTTGTTTTTGAGACTGGGTCCCACTCTGTCGCCCAGGCTGTAGTGCAGTGGTGCGATCAGGGCTCACTGTAGCCTCAACCTCCCAGGCTCAAGTAATCCTCCCACCTCACCCTTCTGAGTAGCTGGGACTACAGGCATGCGCCACCACACCCGGCTCATATTTATGATTTTTGCTTGGCTCCTGAAACAGCATGGCTGCTTTGAATTTGTGACCCCTGGTTATTAAGTGTGTTTTTGCTTTGGCACAGGAAAAAAATAAAACAGATGTAATTTTGATAGCACAGTTATTTTCATTATTATATAGATGTATAAGAGACTTGGATTTCTAGCTCAGGATAATTGAATTTTTCATCCAAATTGATGTTCCTCTTCAAGGCCAGACATACTTTCTCTCTTCTATAAGGGTATTGAATGATAGACTTTTTGTTAGAACTCTTGGTTTGCTATTTGGCCTTTCCTAATCTCTCTTCACAAAAGAGAGATCTGAACACAGAGGTTAAATGTCTTGCACAGCAAATGGCCAGCTGTGATATGACCAAGACTCTTAACTTGTCACTCAGCCCTGCAGATTATATTGGTCTTCTGATGTGAAGTTTACTGTTCTTTCTTTTATGCTATCTAGCCACTTGTTCAGTTAGCTTATTCATTAATCACCGATACATATGAGACATTCTATATTTATGCCAGTAATACATGTAAATTGCAGCCATTTTTAAAACCAGGAAATGCACTTAAATTGTGTGTTTAAATTTATCAGAATCACATATGGTGCTTTTTACCACATATAGTAGTTTTTAAGATTATATTTATCCATATTACCTCTGTAATTATTTGTGATCAGGTTAGCTTAAGTGAAGAAAAGCCATATTAATGCTCCACTTTGGTTTTGAGATAACTACTGGTATTCAATCCATTATTCTTATCCATTAGAATTCCTCTTTTGTCCAGAAATTGTTCAACCCTTAGAATCAAGTATCTGTACTTCCTCATTTATGTTTCCCTCACTCCAAGTCTAAGTAGACACCATGTCTGCATCCTTTCCTGCCACACTATGGTTGTAGAAAATATATCTATTTAGATATAAATTGCAAGAGTAAGAGGGTTAATTGTATAAAATTATCATAGAGTTGTAATTGAAAATCTCTTTTAACAAATAAAAAGAAAATCACTTCTAATTATATAGTCTGTTGGCCTCTTGTCATTGCTGTAGCATGGTTGTTTATTTTGTGTTTTTGCCCAGGTGCTTAATTCAGCCACCGTCAGCCTTACAAAAATAGATAACTGTACAAATAAACCAGCTTCTGACTAAGACTAGCTAATTTTCTTTATTGCTAGGCCCAAATTATTTTCAATATGTTAAAGAAAGAAATACCCCAAACCACATTGACTTATAACTGTACCTATGCAGGATTTTGTTTCAATGGCAGTGTATAAGGGGCAAAGACTTCTCTCTTGCTTTCTCCTTAGCTATGAGTGAACTGAGTCAATGAGCACATGTTAAGCATTTGTAGTGAATATCCTGATTTCCTAGTGATTCAGAAGTAGCAGGAACAGTCAGTCTCACTCATCACTCAAAGAGACCTTGAATTCATCTTCTCTTTTTTCTCATTTCTCCATGCCATAATTTACAATGTCATCACCCTTTCTCCTACATATGATCTAAAAAACTGGCATCTCAACCTAATTCCATCCTAAATCATACTTGGCCAGCATAGTTTGTTTCCTTTATTAAACATTTGAATGTAATACCTGGGGGCAGGGTGAGTGTGCTGGGTTCTGCTTTAAATTTGCATGATTTCTGAGGCCTTCGAAAGCATTTGGATTTTTAAACCTTCCTTAGACAGTTGTAATCCAGGCTCCTAATTGTTTTCTCCTTCAAGTTGTAAATTCTCCCTGTCCAAATAACCCTCCACCCTTTCCCCAGATTCAGCAATCTAAGAAAACAGTTCTGATCGTATAACCCTCCTTTGTAAATCTTATTCACTTGTCTATTGCATGAGGGGTAAGATCCAAAGTCTAACATGGCAGATGAGAAGTTTCATCACATGGTTCCAGTCTGCTTTTCCCAGTCCCTTCTTTTCCACTTTTTGTTAACATTCTGCCTCCACAACATACACCAAGAGCTGCAGCAGAGCAAGTTATACCTAGTCCCGTTAGCCTGAGTGGTCTTTCGGGTCCCTTTCTTATGACTGTGCTTTTCTCTGCCTATACTCACTTTGACTTTCTCCCTTACCTGGAAAATGCTTATTCTTCTACTAAGCCCCAACTCATGTAATAATTCCTATGTGAAGAGTTTCCTGAGTCTCCGGGGAGGTTGATTGTTTTTCTGGGCTACCAATCACACTTCGCACATCTCTTCATTGTAACATTTACCATAATGTGTTTCAAGATTTATGTGTCCCTGCCTCACTTTGCTGTACAGGAAGCTCTGTGATAAGCATGGTTAGATCAAATTCATTTTTGTATTAACAACACCCAGTAGTGTCGGGCACATAATAGGTGCACAAGGGATGTTTCTTGAATAGGTGAAAGAGGAATCTCCCTATTTCTCCCTACTTATATTCTGTGGGCAGCTGCTATCCCCTTGCTGTCTGTCTGATCCTCAATCTCTTCCTCTTGTCCACTCAAACTTCCTCATGGTATTTTGCTTATTCATCTTACATCTTTACCCTCTGGTTTTTGAGATGGTGATAAAGACAGGGGTCAGGGCTCAGGGCTCTGTGATTAATACTTCTAGACATCGCAGTTTGGTTTGGTGCCACCATCAATGACAGCAGCTGCTATCATTTTTCTCAGTTTCCAGGATTCTTCCAATATTTCAGGGCATAGCCTAATTCTAGAGCTATCTCTGATGATTTGAGGTATATGGTATGTGTAATTCAGTACTTCATATCTGCATTTATTATTGTATATGAGCCTTCCACAAGGGCATTTTTGTCTGTTTAAAATGTAATAATAAATCAAATATGTTGAATTTTCTGTATATCTGAATGCATTGTAAAACTATTTTAATGGTGTTCGAGATAAAATTCAGACTGAACATATCGTATACTAATGACATCATGTTAATATGCTTGTAACAAACATGAACAGGGTATCAGTTGTGAATAGATAACCATAATAAAATTCAGTAGGTTTGTTCTTGAGAGTGAGGTGTCACAAATTCTGTTTGGCAAGATATGGACTATGAAACTGGCAAAATTAGCCTTCTGGGGTTTAAATTAACCTATAACAATTTCATTGCTTAAGAATATTAAGACAACTTAATACTTTTGTTAAAGTGTAAATGCAAGACAAGAAAGAGTAACGGCAGGCTGTTTTACTTTTTATATTGTCTTCTTTAATGTATTTCCGCTTTTCCTGCCTGCCAATGCCATTCATATTATATTCTTTTTACCGTGAAAATGGAGCATATAATTTTATAGATAAGGAAACAAAAGCTCAGAGAATAAAAATGGCTTGCTCAAAGAGACACAACTAGTTAGTAACAGGGCTGGGACTAAAATTCAGATCCCTTCACTCCCACACTAAGGACCTTAACATTATTATATGCTGTTCCCCTTCATTTGACTTGTTTTTCTAATGTTCAGAGTGTGTGCTGTTTTATTTACTGCAAAGAGATGCTCTGTTTCTCCATAAAGTGATTACAAATCCGTGGAGCTACAGTCATCATAGATGTTCCTACAAATAATTTAAAAGCAAAATATTGAAGTATGCCTTATCTTCACTGCCAATGAAATTATGACCAAATGGTAATTACTGAATAACAAAACAGTCATATAGCAACCAATCCAATTGTTTAATGCTATATCTAAAGGCAAACATTTTAAAAAGCAGTGAGTTAATACAATTTTCAAAAATTTGACTCATCAAGCTGTCTCAACAGTCAACAGTTTGAGGATTGCATCAAAAAATGGGCAGGCACTGATGAGATTACCAAATGATATCTTATCTTTAAATGCCCTGGTTTAAAATTAGCAAGAATACGTTTGGTGTCTAATTTCTGAGAAGTAAAAACAGCTTTGGCTGTTTACCCTAAGTTTAGGACAAAACTCAATTGAATGAAAGCAAGAAGTGGAGTAGAAATTTTAGCATTTTAAAAGCTGACAGCTCTAACCTGAACCAGAGTATTTATGTTATTAAAATAGTCTTGGAATCCTAGGTCAGGCAATTCCATCTTTCTGAACTGCCCTCTATACACTTCTCCACCAGCAATACTCAGCACTTCTTTCAAAGCAAAGGCTCTCAAGCTGACCCAAAGCAGGAATGTTTCCTTGACCAATCTATATCACATTTTAATGATTTCTCGACAGTATTCACAGCTCTTTCTAGCTCTGTATCTTTTGATGGATATCTTAGGGAAGTAATTTCAGCAAGTGACAATTTTAAAAAGCTGGAGGGTTTTTTCGTTTTGTTTTAATTTGGTTTGGTTTTGAGACAGGATCTCGCCCAGGCTGTAGTGCAGTGGCATGAGCTCAAGCAATCCTCCTGCCTCAGCCTTCCGAGTAGCTGGGACTACAGGCTCACACTGGCTAAATTTTGTTGTTGTTTATAGTAGGGACAAGGTCTCACTACATTGGCCTTGCTGGTCTCCAACTCCTGAGCTCAACAGATCATCCCGCTGCGCCCTCCCAAAGTTCTGGGATTACAGGCATGAACCACCATGCCCAGCCCCAAACTGGAGATCTGTATAGAGCATTTTATGTTGCTTTGATGAAAGATATGTAACACATATCAAATTATAAAACTGTATTACTACTTTTATATATTTAAAAAGAAAGAAATGAATAGCAGTTGAATTTAGTTAATTTGTCAATTCAGTAAATATCACTGAGTGTCTACTAGTTTTGAAGTCCTGTGTGAGGTTGTACACAGTGTATATATTTTATATATGTATATATATATATATATACACTGAATATATATATATATATACACTGAATATATATATATACACTGAATATATATATATATACACTGAATATATATATACACTGAATATATTTATATACACTGAATATATATATACACTGAATATATAAATATATATATATATAGTGAGCAAGACTTGTTCTCATTCCTCAAGAAACTCACAGTACAGTGACAGTCTTACATTTTGTAAATATTTAATAGCTAACTCGACAGTGCTATGACTGACAGGTTATGTGTGATTTTATCTCACTCCCCATTCAATCTTTGAATGAAGAATTGAATAAGGAAAAAATGAAGGAGAACCAAGTTCCATCACACTGGTTCCTATCTGGGCTATGTTTTCAATTATTCAAGAAAAATTTGGCTTGTCCTTGCCGAAATTGTATATTCCACAAAGATCTATAGTTGTGGTTTCCTAAGTGCTCTGGAAGTCTACAATGATGCAGTATCTGATTAAAAAAAAATGTGGCTAGCTGATAAGTCCCCCACTGCTTGCTGTTGCAAAAAAATGATTCATTAGAAAAAAAATGATTTGGAATCAGAAATTATAGGTTATTTTCTGGATCTACCACTTAACCTTTTATACCACTCTATTAGTCCATTTTCATTGTGCTGATAAAGACATACCTGAGACTGGGCAATTTATAAAAGAAAGAGGTTTATTGGACTTACAGTTCCACATGGCTGGGGAAGCCTCACAATCATAGTGGAAGGCAAGGAGGAACAAGTCACACCTTATGTGGATGGCAGCAGGCAAAAAGAGAGCTTGTGCAGGGTAACTCCTGTTGTTGTTGTTGTTTTCTTTTTTTTAGGTTTCAATATTTTATTCAAGTTTAAGTGATGTTAATTACAGCATTTGAAGGGGAGGATCTAATTCCACAGAAAATGGAAGACTCTAAAATGTACCCATTAGACTGCTAAAAAACAAATTGAAGGGTGAGAATATAACAGAAGTCCAATTTAGATTCTGAGTGTTGTCACCATGTGATTACAATCACACAGACGCTTCCAAGCTTATAGCTGGAGTTCCTGGAAGCTATTTCATACTCTGGTGCAAGGGCTAAAAAACGCAACACAGGAAGGAATAAGTCCTGAATTATTGGCTTCATCACATCCACCCTCTCCACCCCAAAATGGCACAAAAGAAAGAGTGACCACACCCTGCAGACCTTTTGGTGTAAAAGAGGTAAAGATGAACTGGGCTGGGAAAAGGTCATGAAGCTCTGTCTAAAAGAGTCCCATTCAGGTGAGTTTGTACACACCATCAAGCAGCAAGCCCCTCATCAGTTAGGGTTAGGAAACCAAGGTTCGATTCTCAGGAAATCACAATTTCATTCATTTACTCAATATGAACTTACAAAGCGCCTACATATTATCAGCTTCCACTTGCAGCCATTTCTAGAGAAAAAAGAAACCTGGCATCTCAAAGTGGCTGCCAAGTTCCCCCAAGTCTACCACTGAAAGGGCCTTTTTTGGAAATGAGTTTCTTCTGTACCTCTGAAAGGGTAACATCTTAAAGCTGAATCATCTTTAACCTGGAGGGGTAACATATTTAGCAATACTTGCGTCCCAGACATACAACATTAAAAGATACACTAAATTCTGAAGGTAGCTATGCTGCAAAATAGTTTAAAATTAAACAATTGTAGAGTATTCATTTATGCTTGAAATTCCAGTCCTAGACCAAGCTTGTGGCCACCAGCATTGACGTTCTTGCCATCCAGAAGAGCTGACAGTGTCAGTTTGATACCTGGCTTTAGGGTCTGAGTGTATCCTAAACCTATCAGGCTGGAGTTGTTCACTTTAGCCAAGAAGCAGGCTTCAGGGTCAATCAAATACTTGGCTGCTATTTCGAAACGCGTGTTACTGTTTCCTGCTGTCCAGGTGAGATTGACAGCAGTCTCCAACTTCTTGTTCACTTTCTGGTAAATGAGGCCACCAAACTCTGTCCCGTCATTCACATTAGTGTGAAGTTGGAATTCATCAGTCTTGCAGCCAACTGCAAAGTTGCTCTGGGTCACTCCGGACTTTGCAGTCTCAAAATTCATCTGGTAGCCGGCCAGCCAGCCCTTGTAACCCAGCACCAGAGCAGCCCGGATGGAAGGCCCAGCAATGTCGAAATCTATGTTGCAGTCCAGGGTAATGTGCTCCTGCTTGTACCCTGTCTTGATTTTAGCATCTTTTTTCCCCCAGTCTTAGGTAAGAAGGATGAATCGAAGGTCAGCTTCAGTCCACGTGCAAGCTGATCTTCCACAGTCATCTCGGTGCCTAGTGTATTGTCGGTGTTCTATTTCTCTGTAAACGTCAGGCCGTACTCAGTCCATCTGTACTTGGTTTCCAGACTGCCCGTCACTTTGGTGGTCTCAGTATTGGCTGAGCCTGAGCTTGTAAATTCCAACCCATTCTCAGATTTTGTTTTCAAATCAAGCATTATTAAGCCAAATCCATAGCCCTTAGTGAAGACATCCCTGGCAGACTTGCCAAGATTGGCATACATGGGTGGCACAGCCATCTTATGCTTAGAGGTGGTGGCAGTGGGCTAGGAGGCGGCTATGGCCGGGGCTGCCGTGCGGAGGCAGAGAACTAAGTGGAGCCAGCTGCGGGGCCCAACTCCCGTTTTTAAAACCATCAGATCTCGGGAGACCCATTCACTGTCAGGAGAACAGTACGGGAAAGACCCACCCCCCTATTCAGTCATCTCCCATCAGTTCCCTCCCACAACATGTGGGAATTATGGGAGCTACAAGATGAGATTTGGGTGGGGACACAGAGCCAAACCATATCAACCACCAATAAAGCCAATTTAATAAAATGAAGAATATATGTGTATGTGAAAAATACTATATGTTATAATCTGTAAACAAAACATATCATAGAAAATTGCTCATATTTATAGAGATATTTATTATATATGTAGACTGTGTTCTTATTGTGTTATTAGTATCTAAAGTTACATTCGAAGTCTTTAGTTTAATCTGGAAAATCATCTCAATTTACTACTGCATACTTCATATGAAAATTGCTTTTCAGTTTTTTTACTACAAAATATACATCTGGATATCTGTAAGTCAATGATGTTCTTTAACCTTAGGATTATTATAGTATTATTTTTAAATCAGGGGAGACTTTAAAATAAAGTGAAAACTGTGTGGCATGACTGTCCTAATTTTTACTCTACCTTATTGAAACCGTTTTAATAGATTTTTACTCATTAGAATCATATCACTCCGGAGGTTTTCACTTTTTTAATAAATATTCTGCTAGCTTTTAGTTTCAACACCTATGTATTTATTCATTTTTATTAGTTTAATCTCTTTAAGAATATGTGTGAACTTTTGTCATAATGTTCTTTCCTTAGTTTTTTAAACATTATTTGGTACTGTTTCTTTAATCAATTTAAAGATAGTTCTTTTTATCTACTTAATGATTCTTAAAAGTTCTTGGAGTAACACCAGAGCTATTTGTTGTGGCTGTTGACTCTTTTCTACGGCAAATTTTGAACTCTGAGCTAATCTTCAGAGATAATTTATCTGTAGGAATCCTCTTCTGCCTGGATTGAACATTCCTCCTAGACAAGTTTTGAGTTTACCACTGCTAAGGCAACCTGGGAGTATTACCTTCTGGGGACCACTTTTTACTTTAATATTTTACTTTAGGTATCCGTGGATCATGTGAGTAGTATAAATTCAGACCATAACCTGTTAAAATGAAAATCTGCATTTATAAGTTCTCAGGAGAGCCTTTCTCCCGCCCCCCATCCAGAGACCAGACTAACATAGGCATAGTTCCTTGGAATCTCACTGTTCTGATGGCATTTTTTAAAATCCAACATATGTATGCTTCTTCAAAGTCTTGGCTTTGTTCAGGGGATCTCATTTCCAAATTCCCACTTCAAGTGAACCTAAGACCTTAGCCTTGTGCCTTGTGCTCTTTCCTTGCAATTGAATCACAGGCCCCTTGGTTTGAGGAACCATAAGCCCTCCCATAACCTGCACACCCGCCACCACAACATCATCGCTAGGGCAGCCTTGATGTCAGGACTTTTTTTGTGTTGTTCCTCTAAGGATTGCTTTCCTTTTCTTATGATCTAAGTAATACACATAAAGCAGTGTTGCTATGTTTTCTTCAGCAGTTCTATGGGTTTTGTAGCAGGAGAGTTTTCTGGTTATTTTTCCATATTAACAGAAATGGAAATCTACTAGGTTTTACATGCTTAAAGTTTAATTTGTCCGGCCGGGTGTGGTGGCTCACGCTTGTAATCCCAGCACTTTGGGAGACCCAGGCGGGTGGATCACAAGGTCAGGGTTTTGAGATCAGCCTGACCAACATGGTGAAACCCCATCTCTACTAAAAATACAAAAATTAGCTGGGTGTGGTGGCGCATGCCTATAATCCCAGCTACTCAGGAGGCTGAGGCAGGAGAATTGCTTGAACCCGGGAGGCGGAGGGTGCAGTGAGCCGCGATCGTGCCACTGCACTCCAGCCTGGGTGACAGAGTGAGACTCCGTCTCAAAATAAGTAAATAAATAAAAATAAAAAATAAATAAAAAGTTTAATTTACGACATTCAGGGAAAACCATACTCAAACCCTATTTTTCCCCTGGAGGCTTTGCATTCTTCAAAGAACATTGCCATATTCCAACTGAAATGGAGATTTTCCTGAGATTTTTGTTTGTTTTTGCTTATATCCGGACTTAACTTTTAAATACAACCTTCTTGTCTTCTTTCCTGTCTTCCAAACTCATGGAGTTACCATTTCAGAGGGAAAGGGTATGCTTTATAAAACTAGCAGAAATCCACATCTAGCTTGAAATCTACTTCATAGGAAACTTAAATTAATTCAGAATAAAACTAAGCCAAATGCTAAGTTAAATGCTAGTATGGAAAATTGTCTTTTTAAAATGCATCTTTTTTTAAAGAGCTTGAAATGTCTGGTAGAGACGCATAATTCTTTCACGGAAGGGTTTCATGAAGCACAGATGTTTTTCAGCCTCCCACGGGGATATATACCACCACAGTGAGGACAACAGATGCCTCTTCCCTCACTTTCCTATCTGGCTTCATTCCTTATGAATCTATTTCTTTTAGTGATTAGCTCAGAGAAGCTTATTTCAGCACAGTTAACCTCAACCCCTTCTTGAAAGTAGATTTTATGGAATGAGGTAAGGAAGAAATAGAACAACTCATTTAAAAATTCTGGCAGTTTCAACTGCCAATTTTTGGGGGATACCATTTTCAATTATACCCACTAAAATAGTAAACATCTAAGAATTCAAAGTAGTTTAGAGAAATAAAGTTAATAAAGATTTAATTGAATTATAAATGTGCTAACTTTCTATTAAATTATGTATGAATCAACCATTTTAAAATTCATTCTTTATGTATGTCATTGATACTATGTTAGTGTCAAGATGTAGCAACTGAGCCATATTTATGTGTATGTAAGTTTTCTATTGCTGCTGTAACACGGTATCACAAATTAGTGGCTAAGAACAACACAAATCTATCATTTTATATTTCTGAAGGTTAAAGGCCCAACAGAACTCAGTGGACTAAAATCATGGTGACAATAGGTTTATTTCCTCTGGAGCCTTTAAGGGAGAAGCCATTTCCTTGCCTTTTCCACCTTCCTTGGCTCATGTCTCTTCCTCCATCCTCAAAGCGACTCTGCATTTCTCTCACCCTTCTTCACCTCATGTCTCCCTTTGACTAGATCTGGGAAATGTTGTCCTTTTTTAAGCACTCATGTGATTAGATTGGGCCCACCTGCCTAACCCAGGTCCTTGAGTCTCTCCATCTCAAGGACCTTAACCTTAATCACATCTGCCAAGGTCACTTTTGCTATGTGAGATAACATAGTCACAGGTTCTGGAATTGGAGCTCAGACATCTTTGGGGGCCATCATTCTGTCTTACCATGTTGTATGTAATTAAAACCTTGCTCTCAGCTGTCTAAAAGTTTGCCTGAGCAAATGAATTGGCAATGTATTCAATCCAATTCACTCCCTAATATCATCATGATAAAAAATTAACTGAAATATTTTAGATAGGGCCAGGCCAAAAATGAAAATTGTCTCCTACAAAAGGAATGATTTAACATTGTCTTTTTTGAAATGGAGTCTCCCTCTGTCACCCAGGCTGGAGTGCAATGGAGTGATCTCAAGTGACTGCAATCTCTGCCTCCTGGGTTCAAGAGATTCTCCTGCCTCAGCGTCCCAAGCAGCTGGTATTACAGGTGCCTGTCACCATGTCCAGCTAATTTTTGTATTTTTAGTAGAAATGGGATTTCACGTTGTCCAGGCTGGTCTGGAACTCCTGACCTCAAGTGATCCACCTGCCTCATTCTCCCAGAGTGCTGGGATTACAGGCATGAGCCACCACACTCGACCCAGACATATTTCTTCTTAATCAAATAACATTAAATTGGGTTATATTATTAAACTTAATGAGTGTCTACTGCTTACCTTATGTCTGGATGACAATGGACAGGTGCTTATTTATTTTAAATCTACTCATTATTTATATAAAAGCTTTATAATTTCTCAGGTTGGTATTTTTTAAAGTTTATATTTAATTTATATTACAAATGATTCATACTATCCACTATGAAGATTTTACATTGTATGATGGAAAAATGCTTCATACATAATTTGCCTATAATAAATGTTAGGAATTTTATGGAAACACTCATTTTCATTTTGAGAAATACAACAAGAGTCAGAAAAAAAGAGAAACAAAATGTTTGAAACAAGTATTACCATGAAGTGACTTTTTTTGTTTTTTGCATTTCACAAATGCACAAAATTTGTGTTAAGGTTCATTTTGAAAGACCCAATGGTCTTTCAAAAAAAAATGGTCTATTAAAAAACTATTGAAAATTATTTAAAAACTATAAAAAACTCTCACAAAAATAATTTTATCTGGAGAGAAACCATTCTTATTCATCTTTGTATCTCCCATGATATAATGGCACTTTTGTTGTTGTTTTTTTCATTTATGAGCTGTGAGGATATCAAAGCCAATTCTTTTTAGAAGTTAAAATTTTAAAATTTAAAACCAGAGAAAAATCTTGGGATAGAATATACCTGTATTATAGTATAGAGCTATGTTCTTTTGATGAGCAATACTATAATACATAGCACTATTATTATAATATTAGATTAATTTTCTGTGTGAAGTTGGCTGCTTTCTCTTCCCTTTCCTCTCTTTTCTCCTATTCTGTCTCTCCTTTTTCTTTCCCTTCTTTCCATTCCTCTCTTTGAATCTTCTATGTTCTCTTCCTCTTTTTCCCATATCTAGTCCTCCCTTCTCCTCCTCATACTGAAGTAATTCAAAATCTGCTACTAGGAATTGTTCAGTTAATATATCTTAAGACATGTGTCATGTTGACATATATTGTTAACTTAATGTGTCTTCCTCTTTGCTGAGGGATATGTTGTCTTAATCTTTTTTTCCCCCAAACATTGCAATTTACTTCTCTCTCTCATACAAATAACCATAAACTAATTATAGCAATCAATTCGCATGCAGTAATTACATTACCTATGATAATTATAATATGTGTCACCTGGACCTGTATTTGTTTTAATGGGAATCAATAATTCTCAAGTGGGCAGAAGTGTGTAGCTGATTATGTGTTCAAGTGATCAGAGATTAGGCAGCATTTGATTAAATGAACTGCCTGGATATTTTGCAATTACTTTTGATCAGTCTGCTATGGCCACTGCTCCTGGCTGTCATGTGATGCAGTTGTCGAACACTAGTCTTACATACTGTGGTAGAGGACACAGACCAGTGCAGATCCGGAACTCAATACAATCGCTTAGGGTTCTTCCAAAGAGAATGATTATACTACTCAATGTGAATAAGCTCAGCTGTCCAAGGCTACCCATTCTTGGGCTTCCAAGAATTCACTTCTTGATTCAAATATATATCCATTTCACAGGGAACCAACTGGCTGAAGGAACCCTAAATTGGGTTTGGTTTTCTGCATCTATTACCTCATATACCCAGACTCTCCATCACCTTCACTATCCAGGAATCTGCTACTAGGGGTTAGGCAGGTTTTCAAACCACAGTGGGCCTGATGAGACCCTGTTTCATTGGACAGTGTTTATCACACATCCTTCAGAGGGAGGCTACCTGCTGTGATACTAGAAGGCCTCAAGAAAGTCCATCCTTCCTGATTCAATGTTGCTTACACTTCTTAAATAAAAAAAGCTACTGTCATTGGATTCCCAACATTTCTTGTGAAAAAAAAAAAGAAAAGAGAAAGAAGAAGAAAAGAAGGCCGGGCGCGGTGGCTCATGCCTGTAATCCCAGCACTTTGGGAGGCCGAGGCGGGCAGATCACGAGGTCAGGAGATCAAGACCATCCTGGCTAACATGGTGAAACCCCGCCTCTGACAAAAATACAAAAAAATGTGCCAGGTGTGGTGGTGGACGCCTGTAGTCCCAGCTACTCGGGAGGCTGAGGCAGGAGAATGGCGTGAACCCAGGAGGCGGAGCTTGCAGTGAGCCCAGATCGTGCCACCGCACTCCAACCTGGGCAACAGAGCGAGACTCTATCTCAAAAACAACAACAAAAAAAAGAATAAGAAGAGAAAAGCCAAAGGAAACAATACAGAATGTAAATTTAAGCCCATGTGGGAGGTAGTGGCATGAACCCTAACTACAGTTATGAAAAAAAATGGTTGTATATCTAATCAATTTATGAAATTTTGATTTCAAATGCATATTAGCATAGTCAATGTTCTGAGAAGTCCTTACAAAAAAATAGATTTAACTGTATTCATTCAGCTTCTTGGATCTGTAGGTTTGTGTTTTGTTTGCCAGATTTGTAAATTTTTCATCTATTATTTCTTCAGATACCTTTTTAGCCCTACCCTCTTTCTTCTCTCCAGAACTCTGAAGAAATGAACATTAGATCTTTTGTTATAATCCTACACAAACTTCAGGCTCTGTTAATTTTTTTATAGGCTATTTTCTTTCTGTTGTTCAAATAGATTAAATATGATTTTTTTCAATTTCTTTGATTCTTTCCTCTTCAAAAGATTCTCTGATCTTTTCCTCTCCAGAATGGTCCTCTCCATTCTGCTGTTAAACCCATCCACTGAGTTTTTATTTTTGTTATTGTATTTTTTATTCGAGTTTCCATTTGATTCTTTTATAATTAATCCATTATGATTATACAGTTTTATAGGGTACAATTTTATGTTTTGATACATCTATAGGTTGTATAATGATCAAATTAGGATATTTAACATATTTGTCACCTCATACATTTATCATTTGACTCTTATTTATATCTTTTGTTTTTTCTGGGACTTTCCATATCTTTGCAGAAACTTTCTATTTTTTTTTTTCATTTGTTTCAATGTGTTTGTGGTTGCTTGTTGGGAGATTTTTATGATGGCTGTTTTAAAATTCTTCCCAAATAATTCTAACAATTCTGTCATTCTGGTGTTGGTGTCTGTTGCTTGCTTTATCACTTTTATATGGAGATTTCCCTGCTTCATGGTATGATGAGTGATTTTCAATTGAAATCTGGACATTTTCTGAATTTTATTATGAAACTCCAAACTTCATTTAAATTTTCTGCTTTAGCAGGCCTTATCTGACACCACTCCAGTGAGAAAGGGGGCACTGCCTCATTATTTCCAGGGATAGCGGAAATCCCAATTTCCCACTCAACTTCTGTTAACACACAGGAGGTGCAGGGGCTCCTACTTACTGCTAGGTGGGGCTAGGGTATACCTTTTTTCTACTAGGCCTCTGCTGTTATCTGTTGTAGGGAATGGCAGAGTGGCCTCATTACTACTCACTGCGTGGCCTCCCTGAACTTTGGGGGGCTAGCCTCACTACTGTTGTGCTGAAGTGAGGGACCTGACTTTTCACTAAGTCTTCTCTGATACCATCTACTCTGGTGGGGAGGAAGAAGGGCACCTCCTTACTACAGGGTTGTGCCTGGCAATAAATTTTGGGTTCTCCATTCAGCTTTGCACCTGAAAGGGGGAGTTGCTTGTCATTGCTAGCTTAAGATGGGAGCTCTGGCTTTCCACTAGGTCTCCACTGATACTTCCTTGGCTGAGAAGAGTAAGAGTGACTAATTACTACTTTCTGCACAATCTTCTCTGATATCAACCTGAAGCGGGGGCTGGGGGCTAAGGATCCTTGTTACAGTTTGGCAATGGTAGAAGTCTACACCCTCCTCTTGGCTGGTGTGTGTTGGGTGGGGCTGCATTTTTTTCCTGTGGTGTTTGGCTGGAGTTAAAAAGTTATCATCTAACATTCTCTCCCTTGGTAAGCTGTCTCTTTCCAGGACGTTTGGCTACTGAGAACAGGCTTTTGTTAAGACTTTCTTTTTTTTTTTTTTTTTGGTCTGTTGGTGCTTCCAGGTTACTGGCTTTTCCAGTACCCAGTCTGGGATACATAAGGCAAAAAGAAAACCCAGGGAGTTCACCATCATGTCTTTCCTTGAGTTCTGAGGTCTCTGGCCAATGTCTGGCTTTCTCTTCACACTGTGTTTGCAGAAATCACTTTCTCTTAGACGTTCCAAGGATTTTTTCTCTTTTTTGTTAATCCTATTTAATTCTTTTTTTTTTTTTTAAGTATGTATCTTGGTGTTGGTAATTCTGGATTGATGTTCTCAGGAACTTGGTGTGTTCTTTCAATATGTTGTTTCAATTTTTTTTTTAGTTTGCATTTGTTCAGTTACCTTGTTATTGATTTCTTCCTCAGTGATTCTTGTGATTTATATGTTGACTCGCGTTTACATGCTTTCAACATTTGACACTTTTTATTAAATCATTATCATATTTTTTAATTTCTTTTTTTTTTGCATTTCAAGAAATTTCCTCTGTTTGACCTGTATCCGTTTTGTTTCTTTGTCTATTCCTTTGAATTTAGAAGGAACATTTTTGAAATTAATTTTTTCTTTTATTTCCAATTGTTTTGTTAGTTGTCACTTAAGTTTTTTTTTAACAATATCTAACTCTGCTTTATATTGCTTTTTTGCGTATTGTATAATTTTCTTAATGTCTGTTAGCTCATTTTTAAATAGTAAGTATTCATTTTAATCAATTTTTATGAGCTGGAGGGATGCTATTCTGCTCCTTATTTTTTTTTTAAATCTTATAGTAACTTATGTGAGATTGTCCTCAATAATATTCCATTGCTCATGCTTATGTACAATTAGGTTTCTTAAACTTCCAGATGAAGGCAAGATAGTTTTGTAGTTTTGTCTTGGTGTAGTGCCTTGCTCTAGAAGGAAGCCCTGGCTAGTCATTTTCAAATGTATATCAATCTACACTACTGTAGTCGCTTCAGTCATAAATGCTGACCCCTTGAGCTCACTGACTTTTGGAAGGGGCCAAACGCCTCTCAATTTCAGTTACTTTCTCGACTTTGCCTACTGTGCTTTCCTGTGAACACTTCTTTGCTATTTTGGCATTCTTGTGTTTTCAGGTTCAGCCACCCTATTGTGCCTCTCTGCTCATTTCCACACTGACCTTGATAACGTCCTGGTCTTGTGGCTATGGGTGGTGTTTTTCTCCACCACTTGTGTTTTAAGAATCATGAGAAAACCTTGTCACCTAGTGCAGTTGTAAATATTGTCTCTGGTTTTTTGGTGTTGCTGTCAGGTTGCTCTGTTTCTCTAAGGAGATTCTGGGAGTTTCAAAAACTGCCATCACCATCATCTTCTCAGAATCATCTTTTATTACACTTAGTTTGCTCACAGCTTGAGAAAGATTATCTTGTTTTGGACTCTCAACAGCCTTATGGGGCAATTATTTTTATTATTTCTATATTTTAGATGAGTCAACTGAAGCTAAGTTTAACACAGCTAATATGTGGTGGAGCAAGGACTTAGGTCTGGTAGAAATTAAATCTTATGCTTTAACTATCAGATATTGCTTCACTACTGGTGTAAATGGGGTGTAGTTTGGGGCAGAGTTTGGGAGGAATAACCTATGTTTTTGAATTAAATAATTTTTCCTTAAGTCCAACATTTAATGAGCACTTACAATATGCTAGCTATTGGGTGTAGCCTTGGAAATACAAGAGTGAAAAAAAGTGATGAGATTCTTGTTATCAGGAAGCAATAAAAATCATTAAATCAGGAGATAGCATTGGCCACACAGGTTGTACCAATATTCATTTGCATGCATAACTAAGCATTTTGAAAACCAGTTTAGATCTGTGTGCAAAGAAGAACATAACACACCAAGGTGAAATTTGTTAAAGTTTAGAGTCCTTTCAGATTAACAAGTTTGCAAAATCTGTGTTCTCATTAATTAGTTTCCCAATGTGATGTGTTAACAGTAGACTGGTTTATATTTTATTAAAAGTAATTTTGAACATATATTACCTAGTGCTTTCAGCAGATGAACAGAAATTGGAAGAGTATATCCTTTATTAACTTTCTCCTCACCTGTAAGGCTGTGTTTTATTTCAAAAAATAGAAAAAAGCTGCTATGACTATCACTGTTTTGAATCATCCTTTTATAGATGAGAAGCTGCAAGTTCAATGAATATTGTACATATTTTTAAAAATATTAAGCTATGAATTGTGCTAAAATTCATGTTAGACTCTTGGCTTTTTTCTCCCCCTCCTTTAGAGAAAGAGTTGGAGGTTAGGGATGCCTCTACATTAAAGTTGTGTTTCTGGGAAGTAATAAATTTAGAACTGATGAAATTAGAAAAGCCTAATTTTCTCAGGGCCTGAAAATCTGCAGGAAGACTGACAAAACTGCTTTAAAAGGCTGCTTTCGGGAAATAAAAAGAAAGGGACCTGTTAGGGTCTTCTTCCCTTCTCCTTGGCTGCAGGAGTAATGCTTCTTTCTGGTAATTGGCCTGACTTCATTTACACTTACATTTATTATTAATGTCAAGAATAACATTTTCTGCTGCTGTGCTTGTTCCATGTAAACTGATCCTCTACAGCATTTTGCCAATCATTATACAGTGCTTGGTTTTTTTTAAGTTTTTCTTGGTGAAGGCGGCAGAGGAATAATACAGTATTTTATGTCAATAACAACCTCTTGTTTTTCTTTCTTCCAGCTTTATGAGGTAAGATTTAACAAATAAAAATTGTATAAATTTAAGGTATACATTGTTATGTTTTGATACACATATACATTGTGAAATGATTACCACAGTAAAACTAATTAACATGTAAATTACATCACATATTTACCTTTTTGTGTTTGTGGTGAGAACACTTGAGATCTGCCCTCTTAGCAAATACATTACGTCTCTAGAATTTATTCCTCTTCTAACTGAAAGTTTGTACCCTTTCACCAACTTCTTCCCATTTTCCTCACCCTCCCAGCCCTTGGTAATGACCATTCTGCAATCTGTTTCTGAGTTTGAATTTTTAGATTTCACGCTAAGAGAAACAATGTACTATTTCTCTTTATGTCTCTAGATTATTTCATTTAGTATAATGTCCTCCGTGTTCATCAATGTTGTCACAAATATCAGGATCTCCTTGTTTTTAAGGGCTGAATAATATTCCATTGTATATATACATTACATTTTCTTCATTTATATATTGATGGACACTTAGGTTGCTTCCATATCTTGGCTATTGTGAATAATGCTGCAAAGAACATGAGAACGTAGATATCCCATTAGCATGGTGATTTAATTTCCTTAGGAAATTCCCCAGAAGTGGGATGGCTGAATCACATTGTAGGTCTATTTTCAAGGTGTTGAGGAACATCCACACTGTTTTCCATAATGGCTGTACGAATTTACATCCCCACCCACAGTTTACAAGGGTTCCCTATTCCCCCCATCTTTGCTAACAATTGATGTTTTTACTGTTTTTTATAATAGCCAATCTAACAGGTAATGGAGTAATATTTCATCATGGTTTTAATTTGCATTTCCCTAATGATTAGTGATGTTGCACACATTTTCATGTGCTTGTTAGCCATCATTTTTTTGTCTTTGGAAAAATGACTATTCAAGTCTTTTGCATATTGTTCATTGGATTATTCGGTGTTTTATAATCTTTCAAAAGTATTTAGTTGTATGAGTTAGTTGTATATTTTAGATATTAACCCCTTATCAGATATGTGATTTGTAAATATGTCCTCCTATTCTGTAGGTTGCCTTTTCATTTAGTGGTTTCCTTTGCTATGCAGAAATGTTTTAGTTTAATGTAGTTCCAATTGTTTATCTTTGCATTTGTTGCCTATCCTTTTGGTGTCACGTTAAAAAAAAAAAAACAAAAAAACAAACAAAAAAAAAAACACTGCTGAGACAAATGTCAAGGAGCTTTCCTCTGTTTTCTTCTAGGAATTTTACAGTTTTATGAGTTATATTTAAGTCTTAATCAGTTTTGAGTTGATGTTTGTGTGTGATGTAAGATAAGAGTCTATGTTTCTTCTTTTTGAATATGGATATCCAGTTTTCCCAGTGCCACTTATTGAGGAGACTATGCTTTCCCTATTGTGCATTCTTGGTACCTTTCTTGAAGATTACTTAACTGTCTATGTGTGGGTTTATTAATGGACTCCATTCTGTTCCATTGGCCTATGTGTCTGTCTTTATGCCAGTACCATACTGTTTTAATTACTATAGCTTTGTACTGTAGTTTGGACTCAAGTAGTGTAATGCCTCCAGCTTTGTTCTTCTTCCTCAAGAGTCTTTTAGCTATTCTGAGGTTTTTGTGGTTCCATATGAATTTTAGAGTTGTTTGTGTTCTATTTCCATGAAAAATGCTATTGGGATATTGATAGGAATTGTATTAAATCTGTACATTGCTTTGGATATCATAGACATGGTAACACTATAAATTCTTCCAATCTAAGCACATGGGGTATCCATTTATTTGTATTATCTTCTTTTTGTTTTTTTTTTTTTTTGAGGCCGAGTCTCGCTCTGTCATCCAGGCTGGAGTGCAGTGGCGCGATCTTGGCTCACTGCAAGCTCCACCTCCCAGGTCCATGCCATTCTCCTGCCTCAGCCTCCCAAGTAGCTGGCCCCCGCCACCACGCCTGGCTAATTTTTTGTATTTTTTAGTAGAGACGGGGTTTCACCATGTTAGCCAGGATGGTCTCGATCTCCTGACCTTGTGATCCGCCCGCCTTAGCCTCCCAAAGTGCTGGGATTACAGGCATGAGCCACCACGCCTGGCCTTTTTTTTTTTTTTTTTTTTTTTGAGACGGAGGTTCAGTCTCCTCACCCAGGCTGGAGTGCAATGGTGCAATCTCGGCTCACTGCAATCTCCGCCTCCCAGGTTCAAGCGATGATTCTCCTGCTCAGCCTCCCGAGTAGCTGGGATTACAGGTGCCCACCACCACGCCCAGCTAATTTTTGTATTTTTAGTAGAGACAGGGTTTCTCCAAGTTGGCCAGACTGGTCTCGAACTCCTGACCTCAGGTGATCCACCTGCCTCGGCCTCCCAAAGTGCTGGGATTACAGGTGTGAGCCACCACGCCCAACCCTTCTTCATTTTTAAAAATCAATACTTTACAGTTTTCAGTGTACAGATATTGTACCTCTGTGGTTAACTTATCCCTAAGTACAGTTGACCCTTAAACAACACAGGTTTGAACCACACAGGTTTACAGATACATGGTTTTCTTTCACCTCTATCAGACCTGAGACAGGAAACCAAACCCCCACCTCTTCCTTCTCCTCTTCAGCCTAATTTATGTGAAGATGGTAACGATAAAGAGCTTTATGATAACCCACTTCCACTTAAGGAATAGTAAATATATTTTCTCTTTTTATGATTTTCTTAATAACATTTTCTTTAATCTAGCTTACTTTATTGTAAGAATACAGCATATGATACACATAACATACAAACTATGTGTTAATCAACTGTTTATGTTATCATCAAGGCTTACAGTCAACAGTAGGCAATTAGTAGTAAAGATTTTAGAGTGTCAAAGGTCATATGTGGATTTTCAACAGCATGGAAGTTAGTGCCTCTAACCCCCATGTTGCGCAAGGGTCCAGCTGTATTTTTTAAAATTTATTGTTAATTGTATTGTCTACTTAATTACTTTTTTAATAGTTAGTTGTTAGTATATAAATTCGCAACTGGTATTTTTATGTTGATTTTGTGTCTTGCAGCTTTATTGAATTCCTTTATTATTTCTAACAGGTTTTGGTGGATCGTTAGTGTTTTTACACAAGGTCATGTCACCTGCAAACACAGAAAATTTTACTTCTTTCTTTCTGATTTGGATGTCTTTTTTTTTCTTGTTTAATTTTTCTGGCAGGGACTTCTAGTACTATGTTGAATAGAAGTGGCAAAGGAGACATCTTTGTCTTATTCCTTATCTTAGAGGAAAAGTTTCAAATTTTCACTGTTGAATAGAATGTTAGCTGTGGGTTTGTCTTATAAGATTCTTATTATGTTATGTTGAGCTATGTTCCTTCTATATCTAATTTATTGAAAGTTTTTAATGATAAAAGTATGTTGAATTTTATCAAATTTTTTCTGCAACTATTAAGATGATTATATGATGTTTGTCTTTCATCCTGTTAATGAGGTGTATCATATTTATTGATTTGTATATGTTTAATCATCATTGCATTCCAGAAATAAATCCCACTTGATCATGGTGTATGATCTTTTTAATGTGCTGCTGATTTCAGTTTGTTAGTATTTTGTTGAAGATATTTGTATCAATGTTTATCAGACATATTGAATATAATTTTTTTTATAATGTCCTTGTCTGGATTTGGTAACAGGGTATTGCTGGTCTCATAAAGTGGTTTTGGAGGTGTTCTCTCCTCTCTTCAGTTTTTAAAAGAGTTTGTGAGGGATTGCTTATATTGTAATTTTGCTTTAAATATTTGGTAGAATTCACCAATAAAGCCATCTGTTCCTGGTGTTTTCTTTGTTAGATTTTTGATTACTGATTCAGCCTCCTCATGTGTAATTAATCTGTTAAGATTTCCTATTTCTTTTCTCGTTTCTTTTTTTTTTCTTGAGACAGAGTCTCATTCTGTCACCCAGGCTGGGGTGCAGTGGCACAATCTTAGCTCACTGCAACCTCTACCTCCCAGGTTCAAGTGATTCTTCTGCCTCAGCCTCCTGAGTAGCTGGGATTACAGGCTCCCACCACCATGCCCTGCTAATTTGTGTATTTTTAGTAGAGACAGGATTTCACCATGTTGGCCAGGCTGGGCTCGAACTCCTGACCTCAAGTGATCTGCCCACCTCGGCCTCCCAAATTGCTGTGAATACAGGCATGAGCCACCGCACACAGCAAGATTTTCTATTTCTTCATAATTCTGTCTTGGTAAGTTGTATGTTTCCAGAAATTAATCTATTTCTTCTAGTTATTCAATTTGTTGGTGAATGATTCTTCATAGTAGCCTCTTAAGATTCTTTGTATCTTTGTGGTATCAGTTGTAATGCCTGGTCTTTTAGTTCTGATTTTATTTATTTGAGTCTTCTCTTGTTTTCTTAGTCTAGCTAAAAGATTGATAAAATTTGATAAAATTCAACATATTTTATCAATTTTGTTTATCTTTGCAAAAAAAAAAATCCTCTTAGGTTGTGGATCTATTTGACTCTATCAATCATCTTTATTGTTTTTTTATCCTATGGTGGTATTTGTTAATTCTACAAAAGTCTGAAATAATTTTGCTATATGTTAACTCTAGTCTTAGTCCATCCAGACTAACCATTTCTCTATGATATATTCTACCATGTTGAACATTATATTTATACATTTATTTGTTTGTATTTAATTGTCCTTTTATGTAATTTTTTCCTCTCCATCCAAATTATAAGCTCCTATAAGGTGGGGCTCATGCGTTATATTTTCCAATATTATCACTATGCCGAATACAGTAGTAAGCATTCAGTACATATTCAGTAAATAATCTATTTCCTGATTGATAGTATGTTTGCATGTTTCTTTTCCTTTTATTTTATTTTATTTTATTTTATTTTATTTTTTTTGAGACAGTCTCTCACTCATCTCCTAGGCTGTAGTGCAATGATGCAAACACGGCTCACTGCTGCCTCAACCTCCCCGGCTCAAAGGATCCTCCCACCTCAGCCTCTCAAGTAGCTGGCACTACAGGCATGCCCCACCATGTCCAACTATTTTTAAATTTTTTTTGTAAAGATGGAGCCTCACTGTGTTGCCCTGGCTGGTCTCAAACTTCTGGGCTCAAGTGATCCTCCTGCCTCAACCTTCCAAAGTGCTGGGATTACAGACATGAGCCACCATCCCCAGCCTTAATAGTATGTTTCTGTAAAAGAGCAATACAGTAACATTTCAGTTAACTGGTATGTTGGCAACAAATTTATTTTGATTAATGGGTTTTCCATTTAACAGTTTTTATTGTTTTATTCAGTGCAGTTCTTTAAAGTGGGTTATTCCCTGCCTAGACTAGTGGGATCAACCACCAAAACCTTCAAATATGTGCATTGATATTTGTTTACACTCTTAATTCTCTTATTTTTTGGAAGACAACTATGTTTCTCATGAAACTTCAACCAGAGTGATATGTCTGGAAAGAGGCCACATGAAAATGTTCAAAATTGTTACTAAAAATGTTACATAAACAGCATAAACTTAGAAGAAAAAATAAAATATTTACTCTGAAATTTGTATGTTTAAAATAATAGAGTCAGTAGAGCTTTATAAAAAATGACAGCTTCCTACTTTTTAATTGAAGAATAAACATATAACACTGGCTACACTAGATGGAGAGACTCAGAGGTAGTCATGGAATCAGATGGTGAGAAGAATGACCCATTTGTAATAACTAATCTCATTGCTGGTGTTTATTCCAACAATCTAGCATGGCATATTTTTCTTTTTCATTGTTTCTTCTTTATCCCTACCAAACTGTATGTCCTTGGATTAAGGCTACATGAATAGCTTCATGGCTTGCAGCAGTTCAGAGTAAGCAGGTGTAAAGGGACAGCCTTAAAATAGGAGTCTAATTTTTAAAATGGAAATATAACATTGGCTTTCGTCGTCTTAGCTGGCAAAGTAAGTCTAGGTTAATGACTGAAGAAATGGTGTTTCACTATGTATGGGGGGTGTAAAAACATGAGTCAACTGGCAGGCAGACAGATTCTATTCTCACTAGGTAAGAAAGTAACGATTATATATGACCAGGGCTGGATCATACAAAGCCTACCCTGAAGTTATACTCCTTAATTAAAGTAATTAATGAATGTTATTATGACTTTAGTGTAAATTGAATATTTCACCTGAAGATATCAAACAGACCACATTTGAGTCCAAATCTTTAGTTCTTCTGGATTTATATTAATTCCTTTGTCCCATTTTCACATACGGATTTGCCAAGGTGCCAGTGGACTGGGTTCTGGTTAACCGAAGTATTACAGCATACGATGAAATAAAATAGTATTTAATATATTACATATTTAGTTTCTATTATATTTAAAGTTATACCTAAGTACATTCTTATTTCCTTTTAAAAAATTATTTTTGTGGGTACATAATGAGTGTATATATCTATGGGGTACATGAGATTTTTTGATACAGGCATGCAATGTGAAATAAGGATGTCATAGAGAAGGGAGTATCCATCCCCTCAAGCACTTATCCTTCAAGTTACAAACAATCCAATTAAAAATTTTAAGTTATTTTAAAATGTACAATTAAGTTGTGATTGACTATGGTCACCCTATTCTGCTACCGATTTGTAGTCTTGTTTATTCGTTCTAACTATATTTTTACCCATTAAACATTTCACCCTCACCCAAGCCCCCCATTACCCTTCCTAGTCTCAGGTAATCATTCTTCTACTCTCTATCCCCATGAGTTCAATTGCTTTGATTTTTAGATCGCACAAATAAGCGAGACCATGCCATGTTTGTCTTTCTGTGTTTGGTTTATTTCACTTAACATAATGATCACAAGTTCCATCCATGTTGTTGCAAATGACTGGATTTCTTTATTTTGATGTCTGAATGGTATTCCATTGTGTATATCTATGACATTTTTTAAATCCATTCATCTATTGATGGACACTTAGGTTGCATTCAAATCCTGGCTATTGTGAACAGTGCTGCAATAAACATACGAGTGCAGAAATCTTGTTGATATACTGATTTCCTTTCTTTTGGGTATATACACAGCAGTAGGATTGCAAGATCATATGATAGCACAATTTTTAGTTTTTTGAGGAATCTCCTAACTATTCTCCCTGGTGATTGTACTAATTTCCAATCCCAACAACTGTATATAAGAATTATTTTTTCTCCACATCCTCCCCAGCATTTGTTATTGCTTGTATTTTGGATATAAGCTATTTTAACTGGGGTGAGATGATATCTCATTGTAGTTTTGATTTGCATTTCTCTGATATCAGTGATGTTGAGCACCTTCTCATATGCCTGTTTGCCATTTGTATGTCTTGTTTTGAGAAATGTCTATTCAAATCTTTTGCTCATTTTTTGATTGGATTATTAGATTTTCTTCCTACAGAGTTATTTGAGCTCTTTTTTTTTCTTTCTTTTTTTTTTTTTGAGACAGAGTTTCTCTCTTGTTGTCCAGGCTGGAGTGCAATGGCGTGCTCTCGGCTCACCACAACCTCTGACGCCTGGGTTCAAGAGATTCTCCTGCCTCAGCCTCCTGACTAGCTGGGATTACAGGCATGCACCACCATGCCTAGCTAAATTTGTGTTTTTAGTAGAGATGGGGTTTCTCCATGTTGGTCAGGCTGGTCTCGAACTCCCGACCTCAGGTGATCTGCCCACCTCAGCCTCCCAAATTGCTGGGATTATAGGTGTGAGCCACCACGCCCAGCCCTGTTTGAGCTCTTTATATGTTGTGATTATTAATCTCTTGTCAGATGGGTAGTTTGCAAATATTTTCTCCCATTCTGTAAGTTATTGCTTCACTTTTTTTATTGTATCTTTTGTTGTGCAGAAACTTCTTAACTTGATGTTATCCCACTTGTCCATTTTTTTCTTTGGTTGCCTGCTCTTATTGTCTATTGCTCAAGAATTCTTTGCCCAGACCAATATCCTGGAGATTTTTTCAGTGTTTTCTTGTAATAGCCTTTGACTTTGGGGTCTTAGAGTTAAGTCTTTAATCCATTTTCATTTGATTTTGGTATATGGCAAGAGATAGAGGTTTAGTTTCATTCTTCTGAATATAGGGATCCAGTTTTCCCAGCACCATTTATTGAAGAAACTGGCCTTTCCCCATGATATGTTCTTGGAACCTTTGTCAAAAATGAATTCACTCTTGGGGTGTGGATTTCTTTCTGCGTTCTCTATTCTGTTCCATTGATCTATGTGTCTGTTTTCATGCAAGTTCCAGCTGTTTTGGTTACTATAGCTTTGTAGTATTATTTGAGGACATGTTATGTGATTCCTCAAGTTTTGTTCTTTCGCTTAGAATAGCTTTGGCTATTCTGGGTCTTTTGTGGTTTCATATTAATTTTAGGATTTTTTTTTCTAAATCTGTGAAGAATGTCATTGGTATTTTGATAGGATTGCATTAAATGTGTAGATAGCTTAGGGTAGTATGGACATTTTAACAACATTCATTCTTCCAATCCATGAAAATGGAATTTTTTTTCCATTTATTGGTGCACTCTTCAATTTATTTCATCGATGTTTCATAGTTTTATCATAGAGGCCTCTCACTTCTTTGGTTAATTACTAGGTAATTAATTTTATGTGTGGCTATTGTAAATAGGACTAATTTTATTTTCTTTTTACATTGGTCACTGTTGGTATATAGAATTGCTACTAATTTTTGTATGTTGATTTTGTATCCTGCAACTTTACTGAATATTTTTATCACTTCTAATAGTTTTCTTGTGGAGTTGTTAGGTTTTTTCAAATATAAGATTATATCATATTCATACAAGAATAATTTGACTTCTTCCTTCCTAATTTGGATTCTTTTATATTTTTCTTATGGCTCATTGCTCCAGCTGGAACTTCCAGTGCTATGTTGAATAACAGTAGTGGCAGTGGGCATTCCTGTCATGTTCCAGATGTTAGAGGAAAGGCTTTCAGTTTTTCACCATTCACTGTGATACTATGTATTAGTCTTTCATATATGGCTTTGATTATGTTGAGGAATGTTCCGTCTATTCCCAGGTTTTTTAGGGTTTTTATCATGAAAGGATGTTGAATTCTATCAAATGGTTTTTCAGGATCAATTGAAATGATCATACAGTTTTTATCCTTCATTCTCTTGATATATCACATTGATTTGTTTATATTGAACCATCTTTGCATCCCAAAGATAAATCTCACTTGGTAATGATGAATGATCTTTCGAATGTATTGTTGATTTTAGCTTGCTAGTATTTTGTTGAGGATTTTTGCATCAATACTCATCAGAGATATTGGCCTGTAGTTTTATCTTTTTATTGTGTCAGTCTGGTTTTGGTATCAGGGTAATACTGGACTCATAGAATGAATTTGGCATTACTCCCTCCCCCTCTATTTATTGAAATAGTTTGAATAGGATTGGCATTAATCACTTAAATGTTTGGTTGCATTCAGCAGTTTAGTCATGGGGTCCCAGGCTTTTTTTTTTTTTCTTTTTTTTTGATGGGAGAGTTTTTATTATGGCTTCAATCTCATTACTTGCTATTGATCTGTTCAGATTTTGGATTTCTTCTTGGTTCAATCTTGCTAGGTTGTATGTATACATGAATTTGTCCATTTCTTCTACATTTTCCAAATTATTAGCTTAGAGTTGCTCATAGTAGTCACTAACGATCCTTTGAATTTCTGCAGTATCAATTATAATGCCTCCCTTTTCATTTCTGATTTTATTTATTTGGATCTTCTCTCTTTTTTTCTTAGTCTGAATAAAGGTTCTCAATTTTGTCTAACTTTTAAAAAACCAGCATTTTTTTAACCTATCTTTGTATTGTATTTTTATCTTAATTTCATTTATTTGTGCTCTGATATTTATTATCTCTTTTCTTCTACTAACTTTGGTTTGATTTGCTCTTACTTTTCTAGTTCTTTAAGATGGATTATTACATTATTCATCTGAAGATTTTCCTCTTTTTGGATGTAGGCATTTATAGCCATAAACTTTCCCCTTGATACTGCTTTTGCTGTATTCCATAGGTTTTGGTATGTTGTGTTTCCATTATGATTTGTTTCAAGAAATTTTTGAATTCATTCTTAATTTCGTCATTGACCAACTGGTCATTCAGCAGCATATTGTTTAATTTCCATTTATTTATATAGGTTTCAAAGTTCTTGTTATTTATTTCTAGTTGTATTTCACTGTGGTCAGAGAAAATGCCAGATATTATTTTAATTTTTTTGAATGTCTTAAGACATATTTTGTGACCTAACATATTATCTATCCTTGAGAATGATCCATGTGCTAAGGAAAAGAATGTATATTATATAGTCGTTAGATGAAATGTTCTGTAAATATCTATTAGGTCCATTTGGTCTATAATAGTCCAGACTAAATATGATGTTTCATTGTTGATTTTCCTTATGGAAGATCTGTCCAATGCTGAAGGTCTGGTGGTGAAGTCTCCAGTTATTATTGTATTGGGAACTATCCCTCTCTTTAGCTCTAATAATATTTGCTTTATATATCCAGGTGCTCCAGTGTACATATATATTTAAAATTCTTATATTCTTTTGTGAAATTGACCCCATTATCATTATATAGTGAACTTCTTTGTCTCTTCTCATAGTTTTTGTCTTGAAATCTAATTTGTCTGATACAAATATAGTGACCCTTGCTCATTTTGGGTTTCCATTGTCCTGAAATATTTTTCCATCCTTTAATTTTCAGTCTATGTGTGCCTTTTTTTTTTTTTTTTTTTTTTTTTGAGATGGAGTCTCGCTCTGTCACCCAGGCTGGAATACAGTGGCCCAAGCTTGGCTCACTGCAAGCTCCGCCTCCCAGGTTCACGCCATTCTCCTGCCTCAGCCTCCCAAGTAGCTGGGACTACGGGCACCCGCCACCGCGCCCGGCTAATTTTTTGTATTTTTAGTAGAGACGGGTTTCACCATGTTAGCCAGGATGGTCTCGATCTCCTGACCTCGTGATCCTCCTGTCTCAGCCTCCTAAAGTGCTGGGATTACAGGCGTGAGCCACTGCGCCTGGCCTATGTGTGCCTTTTTAGGTGAAGTGTTTCTTGTAAGCAACAGATCAGTGGGTCTTGCTTCTTTATCCATGCAGCTGGTTTATGTCTTTCGATTGGAGAATTCAGTCTATTTACATTTAATGTTACTATTGATAAGTAAGGACCTACTCTTGCCATTTTCTTATTTATTTTCTGGTTGTTTATGATCTTCTCTTTCTTTTTTCTTTCCTTCCTGTCTTCCTCTAGTGAAGGTTATTTTCTCTGGTGATATGATTAAGTTTCTTTCTTTTTATTTTTTATGTATCCATTATATGCTTTTTGGTTTGGAGGTTACCGTGAGGCTTGCAAATACTAACTTATATCCCCTTATTTTAATATGATAACAACTTAATACTCTTTGTATAACAAGCAAAAAGAAAGAAAACAAATAAAAACTCTATGCCTCAACTTTGCTCCCCCACTTTTAACCTTTTTGTTGTTTCTATTTATATCTTATTGTACTGACTCTGTCTTGAAAAGTTGTTGTAGTTATTATTTTTGATGGGTTCATCTTTTTGCTTTTCTGCTTAAGATAATAGTAGTTTACATGCCACAGTTAGTTTTATAATATTCTGTATTTTTCTGTGTACTTACTATTATCATTAGGTTTTGTATTTTCAGGTGATTATTTATTGCTTATTAATGTCCTTTTCTTTCTAATTGAAGTACTCCCTATAGCATTTCCTGTAGGCCTGGTCTGATATTGCTGAAATGCCACTGCTTTTGTTTGTCTGAGAAAGTCTTCATTTCTCTTGCATGTTTGATGAATATTTTAGCTGGATATACTATTCTAGGGTAAAAGTTGTTTTTCCTTCAGCACTTTAAATATGTCATGCCACTCTCCCCTTGCCTGTAAGGTTTCCACTGAAAAGTCAACTGCCAGATATATTGGAGCTCCAGTGTATGACATGTGTTGCTTTTCTCTTGCTGCTTTTAGAATCCTTTCTTAACTGTTAACCTTTGAGAGTATGATTATTAAATGGCTTGAGGTAACCTTCTCCAGGTTGAATCTGCTTTATGTTCGATTTCTTTCTTATACTTGGATATTGATGTCTTTCTCTAGGTTTGAGAAGTTTTCTGTTATTATCCCTTTGAATTATCTTTCTACTCCTATCTCTTTCTCTACTTCCTTCAAGGCTAATAACTCTTAAATTTGTCCTTTTGAGGCTATTTTCTTGATCCTATAGGTGTGCTTCATTTTTTTTATTCTTTTTTCTTTTGACTCTTCTGTGTATTTTCAAATAGCCTGTCTTCAAGCTCAGTAATTCTTTCTTCTGCTTGATCAATTCTGCTAATTAAAGGATGATGATGCATTATTCAGTAAGCCAATTGCATTGTTCAGCTTCAGAATTTCTGCATTATTATTCATAATTATTTTAATCTCTTTGTTCAGTTTATCAGATAGAATTCTAAATTCCTTCTCTGTGTTATCTTGACCTTTTTTTGAGTTTCCTCAACACAGCTATTTTGAATTATCTGTCTGCAAGGTCACATACCCCTGTTCCTCCAGGACTGGTCCCTAGTTCTTATTGAGTTCATTTGGTGAGGTCATGTTTTTCTGGATGGTGGTGATGCTAGTAGATATTCTTCAGTGTCTGGGCATTGAAGAGCTAGATATGTATTGTAGTCTTCACTGTCTTATCTGTAGCCACTCTTCTTTGGAAGGCTTTCCAGATGTTTGAAAGGATGTGAGTGTTGTGATCTAAGCAGTATCTTCTTTAGGGGGCACTCCAATCCCATTAATGCTGTGGTTCTTGCAGACGCATAGTGGTGCTGCCTTTATGGTATTAAACAAGATCCAGGAGATTTCTCTGGATTATCAGGCAGAGACTCTTGTTCTCTTCTCTTACATTCCCCCAAACAAACAGAGTCCCTCTCTATCTTTTCTAACCCATGTAAAGCTGGAGCTGGAGTGACAATAAGCACCCCTGTGGTCACCACCACTATGACCCTGCTGGGTCACACCTGAAGCCAGCACAGTGCTGGGTCTCATTCAAGACCCACTGTTACTACTCCCTGGCTACTTCCCATGTTTGCTCAAGGCCCTGGTGCTCTACAATCAGCATGTGGCAAAGCCAGCCAAGCCTATGCTCTTCCCTTCATGGCAGTGAGGTCCCCCAGACCCTATGTGCGTCCAGAAGAACTGTTTGGTAGTCAGGGACTAGCATCAAAAACCTTAGAAATCTACCTAATGTTTTAATGTATTCATCTGAGCTGATATTCAAACCACAAGACACAGTTCTTCCCACTCTTCCCCCCTCTTTCCAAAGGCAGAGGAGCCTCTCGCCATAGCCACCACCACCTCAGGCCATGAGGTATACTGCCAGACTACCACCAATACTCCCTTATGACCCAAGGTCTCTTAAGTCAACTTATTGTGAATGCTGCCTGCCCTGGGACTCACCCTTCAGGGCAATGGCCTCTCCTCTGACTCAGGTCAGGTCCAGAAATGCCACCTAAGGGTCAAGTCCTGTAATCACAGACCCCAGGAGCTCACTTGGTGGTCTACTGACCTCCACCCCTGTGGCCTGATATTGCTGAAATCCCACAGCTTTTGGTTGTGCTGGTACCTCAGATGCAAGACAAAGTCCCATTTACTTTTCTGTCTGCTTTTCTCAAGCAGGAGTTTTGCCCCGGAGCCACCATATCTGTTAATGCACTGAGCCTCACCTGGAGCCAGCCCATCTCAGAGAATGACCAAGACCCTCAATGTAGTACCTGGGTATTGCTGCTGGTTATGCAGGGCCGAAGGGCTCTTCAGTTAGCAGACGATAAAAGCTGGCAGGAATGGGTCCTTTCCTTCAAGGCAGCAGGTTCCCTTCTGGCCCAGGGTGTGTCTAGAAATGTCATCTGGAAGCTAAAGCCTGGAATGGGGGGCCTCATGACTCTGACCAGTGCCTTATCCTGCTGTGGTGCAGGTGGTATCCTAGATGAAAGACAAAGTCCTTCCCACCCTTCCTTCTCCTCTCTTCAAGTGGAAGAAAGGGGTGTCTTTCAGTGCTGAAAGCTGTGCAGCCTGGGGTTAGGGTAGGGATGATTCCAACACTCCCTTGACTTCTCCGGCTGGTGCCTCAGTATGCCAGGTTTCTTCAGTTTTCTGTCTCTGGGCCTAGTTCAGCACTAGGACTCACATACACGTTGCAATTCTTATGGCCTAGACAGCCTTTCAAGTTTACTTTGAGACAGAGTGTGGTAGCCTTTGATGGTGAGGTTTGCAGACACTCAGGTATGGACCTCTGGTTTCAAGGGATCCTTCTCTGGCTAGGGCTGATTTAAATGCTCTTCCTGTGGGCGGGGGTCAGCTGAATTTGCTCTGGTTTTGCTTTCTGCTTTAACAGGACAGCACTTATTTCAGCGCCTCACGATTGCTGTGTTTTCTCTCCTTCGGTGTCCAGAGAAGCTCTCTGCACCATGCCGAGGTGGGGGAGTGGTAGCATCGGTAATTCTACAGGGTTTATTTCTTCAGTGCAACTTTAGGACATATGAAGTTAAAACTAGGTACTATGAGTGCTCGCCTGATTTTTGTTTCTTATGAAAGTTTTTTTTTTTTTTCCTGTATAGATAGTTGTTAACTTGGTGTCCTTGCTGGGGGGCAACTATAGGTAGAGCTTTCTATTCTGTCATCTTGCCCTGTCTCCCTTGTATATTTCCTGCTCTTTCCAAATTAATATGTTAATTTTTCTTATTTTATCTTTCTTAATGAAATAAGTTTTCATTATTACTTATGAGTGACACAAACTATTGTACTGATCAAAAGTAAAGATACACTTACTGGTGAAGGGATGCCAATATGTTTTCTTTAGATATCAGGTGAACTTGAGCAAAATGCTTGTTACTCCACTTTATAGGTAACCTTTGATGCTTAGGCACTGATAAAGAAATCGGAACAAACAAACTCAAAATAAAACGAGCAAACTCATCCCACAAATACTTTATTTTACAGAAATAGCACTTTTAGCCAAATGTGAATACAATTGCAATAGCTGTGTTTTTAAGAAAATCAGCAAAATTTTATGTGCTCCTTTTTAGTAACTATATTTGAAATATCTAAGTTTATTCCCATTATTAAGATTGGACATTGTTATGATTGCATTTCCTTTCAAAAGATGTATTCTAGCTCAATTTCCCTAGCTTCCAGGTAAGAATAATAGAAATATTAAAATAGAGCTGTGGTTTGCTATAATTTTCAGGGTATTTTGTGGTCAAGTTCTAAAATTATCAAGAGCATAATTTTATGTTTTTGAACTTTAAGTTTTTAACAAGATAGTCTATCCTAAAGCTTAAATATATTAATCAGCAACAAAATGGCATAGAATGAGAACAGTGTTAAGGAAACCTTGAAAATAATAAAAAGTATGTGGCTTCTTACATATGACATACTAAGGCAATGCCATTATCATGCTGTATTACAAATAAAATGTAAATTACAATGCAATGAAAATAACTTCACAATCATTTTATTGTTTTAAGCATACCAATATCTTGAAATTTTTCAGGAAAGAATTGCTTTCAGAAAGATTTGCCTTCTCAAGATTGAAGCACATTTTATATTGAATTAACTGATATGCTATGAAACCCAGGCCCCTTGATAAAAAACAGTGACTGTTGCCTTTTTTTTTTTTTTTTTTTTTGAGACGGAGTCATCTCTCTCTCCCAGGCTGCAGTGCAGTGGTGCGATCTTGGCTCACTGCAACCTCCGCCTCCTGGGTTCAAGTGATTCTCCTCCCTCAGCCTCCCAAGTAGCTGGGATTATAGGTATGCACCACCATGCCCGGCTAATTTTTTTGTATTTTTAGTACAGACGGGGTTTCACCATGCTGGTCAGGCTGGGCTGGAACTCCTGACCTCAAATGATCTGCCTGCCTCGGCCTCCCAAAGGGCTGGGATTACAGGTGTGTGCCACCTCGCCTGGCCTGTTGCATTTTCACTAACTTATGACTTCTCTAGTATTTATCTAAAAAACAGAGACAATATCTCTACAAATCAACTTTATATAATTATTTTAACAAATCCTTTGATTATATGTAACCAAACTGTTCTGTGCACATGGAAAAATGAATATGATAGGAATATGATTCTCAGGTGATTAAAAAATAATATTCTCTTTCATCAAAATAAGCAAATACCTACTTGTAAGGAACAATGCAAAGAAAAAGAAATATTTTTGCAAATGATCAACTGTCATTTAAAATAGATAGCATCTAAGTTGCCTTATACCCCAAATGTAAATGGACCTTCATATTTTGAACAGTGAAGCCAATTACAGAAATTTGTCATCATTCTTGTCATCTGGGATGATCATTAAAATATCTTTAGTGATTACATCTCTCATTTTTCTTCTTACTTATCATGTGCTTACAGACATAGCCAATAATATGACTTTTCTACCTAGAATTATTATAAATTCATCACAATGACCGGTACGTAGGTACTGTTTTACCCCCTCAGAGAGTTCTTTCATTACCTCATTAATTCATAATCCACACAGTTTTCCATGTGTACAGAACACTTTGATCTTATATATTCAAAATATTTGATTAAATAATTCTATAAGATGGATATGCATAGATATTGTCTCTGTTTTTTAGATGAATACTAGATAAATCATAAGCTAGTGAAAAAGCCACAATCACTATTTTTTTTTCTGACTTTTAGGTTCAGGGGATACATGTGCAGGTCTCTTATATGGGTAAATTGTTTGTCACTTGGGTTTGGTGTACAAATGATCCCGTCACCCAAGTAGTGAGCACAGTACCTGATAGTATTTCAGTGCTCACTCTCCTCCTACCCTCCCCACTGTAGTAATACCCAGAATCTATTGTTCTCATCTTTGTGTCCACATGTACTCAATGTTTAGCTCCTACTTATAAGTGAGAACATGAGATATTTGGATTCCTGTTCCTGTGCTAATTCACTTAGGATAATGGCCTACAGCCACATCCATGTTACTGCAAGCGGAATGATTTTATTCTTTTTATGGCTATGTAGTATTCCATGGTGTATATACACCACATTTTCTTTATTCAGTCCACAGCCAATGGGTATCTAGGTTGATTCCATGTTTTTGCTATTGGGAATAGTGCTGTAATGAACATACACATGAATGCGTCTTTATGGCAGAACAATTTATATTTCTTTGGGTATATAACCAGGAATAGGATTGCTGGATTGAATGGTATTTCTGTTTTAAGCTCTTTGAGTAATTTCCATTGCTTTCCCCAGTGGCTAAACTAATTGACATTTCCACCAACAGCCTATAAGCATTCCCTGTTTTCTGCAACCTCACCAACGTGATATTTTTTGACTTTTTAATAATAGCCATTCCAAAAAGTCACTATTTTTATCCAAGTGCCCCAGTTTCATAGCATATCACTTAATTCAATGTAAAATGTGTTTCAATTTTGATGAGGCAAATATTCCTGAAAGAAAATGCGTTCTAAATTTGTTGCTTGACCAACTTGCTTATTTCAAGTGGTGAATATAATACAAGAAGTATAGAAAAGAATGTTTATGGCCTTGAACGATTTTACAAATTTGAAGGAAGAGCAAACACCAAAAACATATCTTCTTAGTGGATGTCATTTCCCATTTTCCCACCCTGATGCCTTGCTCTATAAGTCAAATTAGGTAGATATACAGATTGATAGAAGACAGAATTGTTGATAAAAACAGCAAGAACATTGATACTTAGGTTTTAGAATCAGCATTACAAGAGATCCTGAAAATCATTTAGTGGAAACCAGAGTCTTATAGAGGAAGCCACTAAAATCTGGAGAATAGTGACTTGCCAAAAATCCAAAATTTTGTTTCAGTGTTAGAGCCAGTCTCAGAATCTAGGCCTTCTTTCCCCATGTAGTAGTTTTTTATATATTTTTAACTTAGTCTAATGAATCTTCTAATATCTAAGAGGCAATTCTTGTTTTATGTGATAGTTTTTTCAAAAGTCAATCTTGACATATGGGGCCATTACAGCAACCTAATAGGCAAATCTAGCATATATCCTTTGTACTTTAAAAACATTAGACACAACTTGATTCTTCAGGTTATATGAAAATAATGAAGTGGTGGTGAATACATAGAACAGATGTGTGTTCATAAAGACCATGTGGTTTTTTTTTTGTTTAATGTAGTAATGTTTTGATGTGCTGCTGAGGGGCTTATCTTAGGGAGATAGTAAAATGGCAGCTGGTTTTACCCTAGAAGACCTCTTACTAGATAAATTCCAGCTGTGAATATATGATGTTTCCTTAAATGGGCAAAGAGAAGTTATCCCATACGTAAAATTATTCTCAACATCTGTGCTGCTTTAGGAACCATATTCTCTTTGTAATTGGCTTCTGTAAGAGGACTTTTTTCCCTTAAAAATGTAGAGAACTGAATTTGTACAAAATGTTTATAAATAATTCGAAAGAGGACTTTAAAAGTACTTTTCGCAAGTTTGTTCTTCTTGCAAGTATAAATGTATACAAATATAAATATATTTGAACAGATCTAAGTACAATCAGTGTTAAACAAGTAGTTAAAGTAGTATGTGCCTCACATTATAAAATCTCCGCCTAAAATGACTTGTGGGTGTGCAAAGGTAGACCTGGTACATGTCCATAATTCTATTGGACAAAAGTCTTTTGGATTTTGTAAAAATACTATGGAAGCATGCTCCAGAGATATTGTGGGTTTGATTTCAGACCACTGCAATAAAACGAATATTCAAAAAAGTGAGTCATGGAAATTTTTTAGTATAAACATAAAAAAGTTATGTTTATGCTATACTGTAGCTTATTAAGTGTGCAATAGCATTAATGTCTAATAAAATAATGTGCGTCAGCCAATATCATACTGAATGGGCAAAAACTGGAAGCATTCCCTTTGAAAACTGGCACAAGACAGGGATGCCCTCTCTCACCACTCCTTTTCAACATAGTGTTGGAAGTTCTGGCCAAGGCAATCAGGCAGGAGAAGGAAATAAAGGGTATTCAATTAGGAAAAGAGGAAGTCAAATTGTCCCTGTTTGCAGATGACATGACTGTGTATCTAGAATACCCCATCGTCTCAGCCCAAAATCTCCTTAAGCTGATAAGGCAACTTCAGCAAAGTCTCGGGATACAAAATCAATGTGCAAAAATCACAAGCATTCTTATACACCAATAACAGACAAACAGAGAGCCAAATCATGAGTGAACTCACATTCACAATTGCTTCAAAGAGAATAAAATACCTAGGAATCCAACTTACAAGGGATGTGAAGGACCTCTTCGAAGAGAACTACAAACCACTGCTCAATGAAATAAAAGAGGATACAAACAAATGGAAGAACATTCCATGTTCATGGGTAGGAAGAATCAATATCATGAAAATGGCCATACTGCCCAAGGTAATTTATAGATTCAATGCCATCCCCATCAAGCTACCAATGACTTTCTTCACAGAATTGGAAAAAACTACTTTAAAGTTCATTTGGAACCAAAAAAGAGCCTGCATTGACAAGTCAATCCTCAGCCAAAAGAACAAAGCTGGAGGCATCACACCACCTGACTTCAAACTATACTACAAGGCTACAGTAACCAAAACAGCATGGTATTGGTACCAAAACAGAGATATAGACCCATGGAACAGAACAGAGCCCTCAGAAATAACGCCACACATCTACAACCATCTGATCTTTGACAAACCTGACAAAAACAAGAAATGGGGAAAGGATTCCCTATTTAATAAATGGTGCTGGGAAAACTGGCTAGCCATACGTAGAAAGCTGAAACTGGATCCCTTCCTTACACCTTATACAAAAATGAATTCAAGATGGATTAAAGACTTAAATGTTAGACCTAAAACCATAAAAAACCTAGAAGAAAACCTAGGCAATACCATTCAGGACATAGGCATGGGCAAGGACTTCATGTCTAAAACACCAAAAGCAATGGCAACAAAAGCCAAAATTGACATATGGGATCTAATTAAACTGAAGAACTTCTGCACAGCAAAAGAAACTACCATCAGAGTGAACAGGCAGCCTACAGAATGGGAGAAAATTTTTGCAATCTACTCATCTGACAAAGGGCTAATCTCCAGAATCTACAAATAACTCAAACAAATTTACAAGAAAAAAAACAAACAACCCCATCAACAAGTGGGTGAAGGATATGAACAGACACTTCTCAAAAGAAGACATTTATGCAGCCAACAGACACATGAAAAAATGCTCATCATCACTGGCCATCAGAGAAATGCAAGTCAAAATGACAATGAGATACCATCTCACACCAGTTAGAATGGCAATCATTAAAAAGTCAGGAAACAACAGGTGCTGGAGAGGATGTGGAGAAATAGGAACACTTTTACACTGTTGGTGGGACTGTAAACTAGTTCAACCATTGTGGAAGTCAGTGTGGCGATTCCTCAGGGATCTAGAACTAGAAATATCATTTGACCCAGCCATCCCATTACTGGGTATATACCCAAAGGGCTACAAATCATGCTGCTATAAAGACACATGCACACGTATGTTTATTGCGGCACTATTCACAATAGCAAAGACTTGGAACAAAGCCAAATGTTCAACAATGATAGACTGGATTAAGAAAATGTGGCACATATACACCATGGAATACTATGCAGCCATAAAAAATGATGAGCTTATGTCCTTTGTAGGGACATGGTTGAAGCTGGAAACCATCAATCTCAGCAAACTATCGCAAGGAGAAAAAACCAAACACCGCATGTTCTCACTCATAGGTGGGAATTGAACAATGAGAACACATGGGCACAGGAAGTGGAACATCACACACCAGGGCCTGTTGTGGGGTGGGGGGAGTGGGGATGGATAGCATTAGGAGATATACCTAATGTTAAATGACGAGTTAATAGGTGCAGCACACCAACATGGCACATGTTTACATATGGAACAAACCTGCATGTTGTGCACATGTACCCTAAAACTTAAAGTATAATAAAAATAAATAAATGAAACATGTCATGCTGCAAAAAAAGATATAAAATAAAATAATGTGCGTATCTTAATTTCAAAATATTTTATTGCTAAAAATGCTAACACTCATCTGAGGCTTCATTGCTTTGAAATCTTTTTTTTTAAAGAAAGAAAATGGTGGACTTTAATCTTTATTTACAGGACACTGTGAGATATGAAATTCCATTGAAATCTTTTTGCTGGTGAAGGGTCTTGCCTTGATGTTGGCAATGGGGTATGGCTAATGGGGTGGTGGATGCTGAAGTTTGGAGTAGTTGTGACAATTTCTTAAAAGAAGATCACAGTAAAGTTTGCTACATTGATTGGCTCTTCCTTTCCTGACAAAAATACTCTGTAGCATGCAATGCTGTTTGATAGCGTGTTACCCACAGCAAAACTTCTTTCAAGATTTCAGTCAATCCTTTTATGCCCTGCCACTGCCTTATCAAGTAAGTTTATGTAATATTCTAAATCTTTTGTTGTCAATTCAACAATGTTCACCGCATCTTCACCAGAAGTAGATTTTATCTCAAGAAACCACTTTTTTATCATTCATAAGAAGCAACTTTGTATCCATTCAAGTTTTATCATGATATTGCAACAATTCAGTCACATCCTCAAGCTCCACTTGTAAGTCTAGTTCTTTTGCTACTTCCATAACATCTACAGTGGCTTCCTTCAATGAAGTCTTGAACCCCTCAAAGTCATCCATGAGCGGGGGAATCACCTTCTTCCAAGTTCTTGTCAATATTGATATTTTGACCTCCTCCCATGAATCATGAATGTTCTTCATGGGATTTAGAATGATGAATCTTTTTCAGAACCATTTCCATTTGCGTTTCTCAGATTCATCAGACAAATCACTAACTATGGCAGCTATAACCTTATGAAATGTAGTTCTTAAATGATAATACTTGAGAGTTGAAATTACTCCTGATTCATGGACTGCAGGATGAATGTTTTGTTAGCAGTCATGAAAACAACATTAATTTCCTTTTATATCTTTTTCAGAAGTGTTGGGCGACCAGTTGCATTGTCAATAAGCAAATATTTTGAAATTAATCTTTTTTTTAGCATTAGGGATCAACGGTCAGCTTAAAATATTTAATACACCATGCTGTAAACAGATGTGCTGTCATCCAGGCTTTGTTGTTCCATGTGTAGAGCACAGGCAGAGTAGATTTAGCATCATCCTTAAGGGCCCTAGCATTTTCAGAATAGTAAATGATCATTGGCTTCAATTTAAAGTCACCAGCTGCATTAGGCCCTAACAAGAGAGTCAATATGTACTTTGAAGCTTTAAAGCCAGGTATTGACTTCTCTGTAGCCATGAAATTCCTATATAGCATCTTCTTCCTATATAAGGCTGCTTCATCTACACTGAAAATCTGTTGTTCAGTGTAGCCACCTTCATTAATTATCTTAGCTAGATCTTCCGGATAACTTGCTGCAGCTTCTTTATAAGCACCTGCTGCACTTTTATATTATGGAGATGGCTTCTTTCCTTAAACCTCATGACCAACCTCTGCTAACTTCATTTTTTTTTTTCCTGTAGCTTTCTCGCCTCTTTCAGCCTTCGTAGAATTGAAGAGTGTTAGGAACTTTTTCTGGATTAAGCTTTGGCTGAAGGGAATGTTGCGGATGGTTTGATCTTCTATCTAGACCACTGAAACTTTCTCCATATTGGCCATAAGGCAGTTTCACTTTCTATCATTTTTGTGTTCACTGGAGTAGCACTTTCAATTTTCTTCAAGAACTTTTCCTTTGCATTAACAACGTGGCTAACTTTTTGGCACAAGAAGCCTAGTTTTCTGCCTATCTTGGCTTTTGGTATGCTTTCCTCAATAAACTTAATCATTTTTAGCTTCTAATTTAAATGAGAGACATGTGACTTTTCCTTTCATTTGAACACTTAGAGGCCATTTTAGCGTCATTAACTGGCCTACTTTAAGGAGTGTTGTATCTCAGAAAATAGGTAGGCTGAAGGAGAAGGAGAGATACATGGAAAGGGCCAGTTCACGTCGCAGTCAGAACAGACAGGACATTCATCAATTAAGTTTTTCATTTTATATGAGCAAGGTTTGTGGATTCCCAAATAATTATAATAGTAACATCTATAGCCAAAAATAATTAAATTGTACATTTTAAAATAACAAAAAGTGTAACTAGATTGTTTGTAACACAAAATATAAATGCTTGAAGTGATGGATACTCCATTTAACCTGATGTGACTATTACACATTGCATGCCTGTATCAAAATATCTAATGTAACCCATAAATACATACACCTACTATGTACCCACAAAAATTAAAAATTATGAAAAAGAGCGCTGATCACAGATTACCATAAGAGATATAATAGTAGGTGGGGCACGGTGGCTCACCCCTGTAATCCCAACACTTTGGGAGGCTGAGATGGGCAGATCGCTTGAGGTCAGGAGTTCAAGTCCAGACTGGGCAACATGGCAAAACCTTGTCTCTATAAAAAAAAAAAAATAGCTGACTGCCGTAGCGCATGTTTGTAATCCCAGCTACTTGGGAGGCTGAGACATGAGAATGGCTTGAACCTGGGAGGTTGAGGTTGCAGTGAGCTGAGAAGCCAAGATGGTGCCACGGCACTCCAGCCTGGATGACAGAGTGAGACTCTGTCTCAAATATATATATAGAGAGAGATAATAATAACAAAAAAGTTTTGAACATTGCAAGAATTACCAAAAAGTGACATAGAGACACAAAGTGAGCATTGGCTGTTGGAAAAATGAAAAATGGCACCAGTAGATTTGCTTAATGTAGGGTTGCTATAAACCTTCAGATTAAAAAAAAAAAAAGCAATATCTATGAAGCACAACGAAATGAAGCACAATAAAATGAGCTATGTCTGTATTGAGTCTTGTTAATGTTGTTCATGGTGATTAACACAAAATAGTAAATATTCAGACTTTACTAGTTTGTGAAATATCTGCATACCAACAACCATAACAAGCAGCCAAATGGTTAGGCTGAGAGAACTAGATGCTTTAGTAGCTACTGTATTTGGCATTTATTTGTCTCATTCTTACTATCTGCTGTCATAGCTGATGAGAGGTTCCTCATAAAGATGACTGGAAAAAGATTATCTGAAACCATTATGTATTGGCTGAGTCTCAATCACAAATGATACTAGAGTTTGTTTTTCAAGCACATTAGACAAATAGATGTCAATAAAATTGTGTAGATATATTTCGTTTTAAAAAATAATGATAATTTAAGAAAATAGTTATAAGAACAAAAAATCAATATTAACATCTGCAAAATCTTAAATAGATATAATTAATGTATGTTGCTAAGTAGAGCATTTTTTAATGGTAATGTTAACAGTTTTTTAAAAATTGACCAGGATGTATAGAGTCAAAAATGCCACTGCCTTGTTACCAGTTATCTTTGAATGCAATTTCTGATTAAATATTCCAAAAGTGGTCTGAACAATGGTAGCCCACTTGTGAGTAATGAATACAGCCTCTCAGGACAGCTATCTGGAAATTAATGGCATTTGTCTAAATATGTATGTTCTGATAGGTTTGTTAAACACCAGTTGTATTAATATACAGCCATGCTTCATATAGTATCTAATTATGATGTGATACTAATTATTATGTTTCTCATTGATCCCATGTGATCTAATTATTATTTGTAGAGCCATGTACGTGTTTGCATGTGTACACACACACATACACACACATTGCCCATTGAAAATGAAAAAGAACAGTCTCATTGCCTGTGTTCTAGGCACACTACACCTTCGTTTATAATCTTACATGTATCAGAAAAAACTTTATGCTATAAATCCGGAGTCAGTAAACTATGAATCCTGGGCACATACAACACATACAATCTTTCCAGGAGCTACACATTTTTTTTTAACATTTTTAAGTGTTGAAATAAATCAGATTTAGAGGGTAAGATGGCTCAATAAACACAACCAGGTGGAACAGCTAACACTGAGGGATCGAGACAACTGGCACACTTCTAACAGATCTTCAGTGGTAAGACACTGAGAGTGGATGGAGGAAAGTCACAGAAGCTGGGCTGAAGAGGAAGGAAGCTGGAAACACTGCATAGGGCTACTTCACACCAGGACTCATTCTTGGCCCCCGGTGACCCCAGGAGAACGGGCGAGTTAAACTGTCAAGGAGTAACCTGCTTTTGTCAAGAGCCTCTGGAATCCCAGCAGGAGGAGACCCCCTTGACCCCACTAACAGTATTACACACATCATTGAGGCAGAACATTTGCAAAGATATTCAGGACCTGAACTTAACACTATATCAAGTGGACCTGATAGACATCTACAGAAAGTTCCATTCAAAAGCAATATTATATACATTCTTCTCATCACCACATGGCATATACTCTAAAATCAACCGCATAATCAGACACACTCTTCGGCAAGTGCAAAGGAACTGAAATTATAATAACCACTCTCTTGGACCATAGCACAATTAAATCAGGAATCAGGTCTAAGAAATTTTCTTAAAACCATACGATTACATGGAAACTGAATAACCTGCTCCTGAATAACTTTCGGGTAAATAATGAAATTGAGCCAGAAATCAAGTTATTTGAAGCTAATGAGAAAAAAGATACAACATTCAAGAATCACTGGGACACAGCTAAGGCAGTGTTTAGCGGGAAACTTATAGCACTAAACGCCCACAGCAACAATTTAAAAAGATCTCAGTGGGGCAGGGCCAAGATGGCCAACTAGAAGCAGCAGAGATTGGAGGTTGCCATGGAAAAGAACCATAACAGCATGCAAATCCAGAACCTGCAAGTGAGGTATCCAGGTTCTGTCATCAGGACTGACTCGGCAGCTGGCGTGGTCCATGGAGAGGAAGGAAGAACAGTGTGGTTTGACGGCCCACCCAAGAGCCACATGAGGCAGGGGAGCCCCCAATCCCAAGCCAAGGGAGGCAGTGAGTGAATGTGCTACCCAGCCTGGGAAACCGTGCTTTTCCACTGAACTGTGCAACCCATGAACCAGAAGATTCCACTCGTGAGCCCATGCCACCAGGGCCTAAGGCCCCAACCACGGAGCTGCATAGATTCTCAAAAGCCACTCAGCACAAAATGGCTTAAGCCTGCCAGTCTTCCCGTGGGAGCGCAGCCAGCATCACAGCTGCTGCTGTCTGCTGTCTAAGTCATTTGAGCTCCTTGTGGGAGGGGTGGCAGCCAGCATTGGGACTAATAGCTGCCTAACACTAAGCTCCCAGGGCAAGGGAAGGACAGCAGCCATCTCTATAGCTCCAGGTCATGCTTTTTCCCTGCTGGAGCCAGGGAGGCTGGATGGCTTGGTCCCAAGAGGTATCCCCCACAGCCCAACACACCAGTTGTGGCAGACTGCGGCCAGAGCACCTCTTCAGACCTGACCCTGACCCATTCTTCCTCATTGGGCAGGGCCTCCCTGCAGGAACTCCAACTCTAGCCCCAGGAACTCAGGAACAGAAGTCTGATCTCTCTGGGCCTGAGTTCCTAGGGGGAGGGGTGGCCTCAGTCTCTGTGGACCAGCAGACATAGTCTTTCCTCCTGCTAGTTCTGAGAAATCTGGGCAGCCCAGATAGGTGGGATTCCCCCCAATAAAACACACTCCCTCCACCAAGAAACAGTCAAAGTGCTTTGTTAAACGGGTCCTGCTCCCCATGCCACCCAACTGGGTGAGACCCTCCAGAAGGGGTTGTCAGACACCGTATTCAGGAGGGTACATACTGGCACCAGGTCAGTGCCCCTTAGGGTCAGAGATCCCAGAGGGAGGAGCATGCACCCATCTTTGCTGTTCTCCAGCCTCCTCGAGTGACATCTCCAGGCACAGGAGTGAACCAGATGAATAGGGCCTGAAGTGAACCCCCAGAAAACCCCAACTTCCCTACAGAAGAGGGACCTAACCATTGAAAGAAAAACAAACAAACAGAAAGCAACAACAACAGCATCAACAAAACCCCATCCAAGGGTCAGCAGCCTCAAAGATCAAAACTGGACAAACTCATGAAGATGAGAAAGAATCAATGAAAAAATTCTGAAAACCCAAAAGGCCAGTGTACCTCTTCTCCAAATGATCCCAACGCCTTTCCAGCAAGGGCACAGAACTGATTGGAGGATGAGATGGACAAACTGACAGAAGTATACTTCAGAAGGCACTGAGCTAAAGGAGCATTTTCTAACCCAGTGCAAAGAAGCTAAGAACCTTCATAAAAGGTTACAGGAGCTGCTAACTAGAATAACCAGTACAGAGAGAAACATAAATGACCTGATGGAGTTGAAAAACACAGCACAAGAACTTCGTGAAGCATACACAAGTATTGATAGCTGAATCAATGAAGCAGAAGAAAGGATATCAGAGGTTGAAGATGATCTTGCTGATATAAGATATGCAGAGAAGATTAGAAAATAAATAAAGAAATGGAACGAACAAAACCTCTGAGAAATACGGGGCAATGTAAAAACACCAAACCTACGATTGATTGGAGTACCTGAAAGAGACGGGGAGAATGAAACCAAGTTAGAAAACACACTTCGGGTTATTATCCAGGAGAACTTCCCCAACCTAGAAAGGCAGGGCAGCATTCAAATTCAGGAAATACAGAGAACACCACTAAGATACTCCATGAGAAGATCAACCCCAGAACACATAATCATTAGATTCTCCAAGGTAGAAATGAAGGAAAAAATGTTAAGGGCAGCCAGAGAGAAAGGCCAAGTCACCTACAAAGGGAAGCCCATCATACTAACAGCAGACTCTCAGCAGAAACCCTACAGGCCAGAAGAGAGTGGGGGCCAATATTCAACATTCTTAAAAAAAAGCATTTTCAACCCAGAATTTCATATCCAGCCAAACTAAGCTTCATAGGCAAAGGAGAAATAAAATCTGTTCCAGACAAGCAAATACTGAAGGATTTCATCATCACTAGGCCTACCTTGCAAGAGCTCCTGTAGGAAGCACTAAATATGGAAAGGAAAAATCAGTACCAGCCACTGAAAAAACAAACCAAAATATAAAGACCAATGACACTATGAAGAAACCGCATCAATTAGTGTGCAAAATAACGAGCTAGCATCATGCTGACAATATCAAATTCACCCATAACAATATTAACCTTAAAGGTAAATGGGCTAAATGCCCCAATTAAAAGACACAGACTGGCAAATTGGATAAAGAGTCAAGACCCATCAGTGTGCTGTATTCAGGAGACCCATCCCACATGCAAAGACACACATAGGCTCAAAATAAAGGGAGGGAGGAAAATTTACCAAGCAAATGGAAAGCAACAACAACAACAAAAAGCAGGGGTTGCCATCCTAGTCTCTAACAAAACAGACTTTAAACCACAAAAGATCAAGAAAGACAAAGAAGGGCATTACATAATAGTAAAGGATGCAATGCAACAAGAAGAGCTAACTATCCTAAATATATATGCACCCAATACAGGAGCACCCAGATTCATAAAGCAAGTACTTAGAGAACTACAAAGAGACTTGGACTGACACACAATAATAGTGGAAGACCTTAACACCCCACTGTCAATATTAGACAGATCAATGAGACAGAAAATTAACAAGGATATTCAGGACTTGAACTCAGCCCTGGATTGAGTGGACATCTACAGAACTCTCCACCAAAAATCAACAGAGTATACATTCTTCTCAGTGCCACATGGCACTTATTCTAAAATCAACCACATGATTCGAAGTAAAACACTCCTCAGCAAATGCAAAAGAACTGAAATCATAACAGTCTCTCAGACCACCGTGCAATCAAATTAAAACTCAGGATTAAGAAACTCACTCAAAACTGCACAACTACATGAAAACTGAACAAACTGCTCCTGAATGACTCCTGGGAAAATAATGAAATCAAGGCAGCAATCAAGAAGTTCTTTGAAACCAGTGAGAACAAAGAGACAACATACCAGAATCTCTTGGACACAGCTAAAGCAGTGTTAAGAGGGTAATTTATAGCACTAAATGCCCACATCAGAAAGTTAGAAAGATCTCAAATCAACACCCTAACATTGCAATAAAAAGAGGCACAGAAGCAAGAGTAAACAAATCCAAAAGCTAGCAGAAGACAAGAAATAATTAAGATCAGAGCAGAACTGAAGGAGATAGAGACACAACAATCCCTCCAAAACATCAATGAATCCAGGAGCTAGTTTTTCAAAAAAAAAAATTAACAAAATAGACAGACCACTAGCTAGACTAATAAAGAAGAAAAGTATCAAATAGACACAATAAAAAATGATAAAGAGGATATCACCCCGACCACAAAGCAATACAAACTACCATCAGAGAATACTATAAATACTTCTATGCAAATAAACTAGCAAACCGAGAAGAAATGGATAAATTCCTGGACACATACACCCTCCCAAGACTAAACCAGGAAGAAGTAGAATCCCTGAATAAACCAATAACAAGTTCTGAAATTGAGGCAGTAATTAATAGCCTACCAACCAAAAAAAAGCCCAGGACCAGATAAATTCAAAACTGAATTCTACCAGAGTTACAAAGAGGAGCTGGTACCATTCCTTCTGAAACCATTCCAAACAATTGTAAAGGAGGGACTCCTCCCTAACTCATTTTATGAGGCCAACATCATCCTGATACCAAAGCCTGGCAGAGGCACAACAAAAAAAGAAAACTTCAGGCCACTATCTCTGATGAACATCAATGCAAAGATCCTCAAAAAAATACTGGCAAACCAAACCTAGCAGGACATCAAAAAGTCTATCCACCACAATCAAGTCGGCTTCATCCCTGGGATGCAAGGCTGGTTCAACATACACAAATCAACAAACATAATCCATCAAATAAATGAACCAATGACTAAAACCACATGATTATTTCAACAGATGCAGAAAAGGCCTTTGATAAAATTCAACATTCCTTCATGATAAAAACTCTCAATAAACTAGGTATTAATAGAACATATTTCAAAATAATAAGAGCTATTTATGACAAATACACAGCCAATATCATACTCAATGGGCAAAAGCTGGAAGCATTCCCTTTGAAAACCAGCATAAGACAAGGATGCCCTCTCTCACCACTCCTATTCAACATGGTGTTGGAAGTTCCAGCTGGGGAAATCAGGCAAGATAAATAAATAACGGTATTCAAATAGGAAGAGAGAAAGTCAACTTGTCTCTGTTTGCAGACAACATGATTCTATATTTAGAAAACACCATCATCTCAGCCCAAAAACTACTTAAGCTGGTAAGCAATTTCAGCAAAGTCTCAGGATACAAAATCAATGTGCAAAAATCACAAGCATTCCTATACAACGACAACAGACAAGCAGAGAGCCAAATCATGAATGAACTCCCATTCACAATTGCTATGAAGAGAATAAAACACCTAGGAATACAGCTAACAAGGGATATGAAGGATCTCTTCAAGGAGAACTGCAAACCACTGCTCAAGAAATAACAGAGGACACAAACAAAAGGAAAAACATTCCAGACTCATAGATAGGAAGAATCAATATCGTGAAAACGGCCATACTGCCCAAAGTAATCTATAGATTCAATTCTGTTCCCATTAAACTACCATTGACATTCTTTACAAAATTAGCAAAAACTACTTTAAATTTCATATGGAACCAAAAAAGAGCCCTTATAGCCAAGACAATCCTAAGCAAAAAAAAAAAAAAAAAAACAAAACAAAAACAAAGCTGGAGGCATCATGCTACCTGACTTCAAACTATACTACAAGGCTACAATAAGCAAAACTTCGTGGTACTGACATACAATGGAATAGAATAGAGACCTCAGAAATACCACCACACATCTACAACCATCTGATCTTTGATGAACCTGACAAAAATAGGAATTGGGAAAAGGATTCCCTATTTAATAAATGGTGCTGGGAAAACTGGCTAGCCATATGCAGAAAAGTCTTGATTAAAGACTTAAATATAAAACTCAAAATCATAAAAAACCCAAAAAGAAATCTTAGGCAATACCATTCAGGCCATAGGCATGGGCAAGGACTTCATGATGAAAACACCAAAAGCAATTGCAACAAAAGCCAAAATTGACAAATGGGATCTAATTAAGCTAAAGAGCTTCTGCACAGCAAAAAAAAACTATCATCAGAGTGAACAGGCAACCCATTGAATGGGAGAAAATTTCTGCAATCTACCCATCTGACAAAGGTCTAATATCCAGAATCTGCAAGGGACTCACACAAATTTACAAGAAAAAAAAAACCAAACAACCCCATCAAAAAGTGGACAAAGGATATTAATCTGCAAGGAACTCACACATATTTACAAGAAAAAAAAACAAACAACCCCATCAAAAAGTGGACAAAAGATATGAACAGACACTTCTCAAAAGAAGACATTTATGCAGCCAACAACCTTATGAAAAAAAGATCAACATTGCTGATTGTTAGAGAAATACAAATCAAAACCACAATGAAATACCATCTCACACCAGTCAGAATGGCGATTATTAAACAGTCAACAAACAATAGATGCTGGAGGCTGTGGAGAAATAGGAATGCTTTGACACTGTTGGTGGGAATGTAAATTAGTTCAACCATTGTGTAAGACAGTGTGGCGATTCTTCAAGGATCTAGATCTAGAAATACCATTTGATCCAGCAATCCCAATACTGGGTATATACCCAAAGGAATATAAATCATTCTACTATAAAGACACAAGCACACATATGTTTATTGCAGCACTGTTTACAATAGCAAAGACATGGAACCAACCCAAATGCCCATTGATGATAGACTGGATAAAGAAAATGTGGTACATATACACCATGGAATGCTATGCAACCATAAAAAAGAAGGAGCTCATGCAGGAATATAGATGAAGCTGGGGGCCATTACTTTAGCAAACTAATACAGGAACAGCAAACCAAATATCGCGTGTTCTCACCTGTAAGTGAGAGCTAAACAAGGAGAACTTCTGGACACATAGAGGGGAACAAGAGACACTGGGGCCTACTGGAGGGTGGAGGGTGGGAGGAGGGAGAGGATCAGCAAAAATAACTAATAGGTACTAAGCATAATTCCCGGGTGATAAAATAATCTGTACAACAAACACCCATGACACAAGTTTACCTATATAACAAACCTCCACATGTACCTCTGAACTTAAAAGTTAAGAAAAAATCAAAAGAAGGACAATGTTTTGTGATATGTGAAAATTATGTGAAATTTCAGTGTCCATAAATGAAGTTTTATTAGAACAAAGCCACAGCCATTCATTTATGTAATGCCTATTGCTGCTTTCACACTACAGTGGCAGGATGACTACTTGCAATAGAAACCATATGGTTCAACAATCATAAATTATTTACTATCTGCCTTTTTACAGAAAAAAAAAAGCCAACTCCTGCTGTAGATCACTCACACTGGAGGAATGTGTGGCTAAAAGAGGAGATACATTTCCCATAAGACTCAAGGAACATTCATTATCCATTCTTAAGAGAAAATGATAGGGGTTTCACAAGTGATGTGAATGAAACAAAATAGTATCTATGGATTCCCTTTTGGAATTTGGAGGAAGAATAATTTTCCAATTTTAGGCATTAAATCCCTGTGAGCATGTGTTTCTGAGTACTATGGTTCTTATGTCAAACATTGCATAAGGGTAGGGCACAGGTAGAAAGGAGAAAAGAAAACTTTTACTCTATTACCTGTTTTCTTCTCCATGTGTCATGTGAGAATAGAAGCTATATCTCCTTCAAGATGAACATAGTTATTACCTGGGGGTTCTATTCCCTGTTCCCTGATTAGAAGGTAAATGCTGGGAGGAAAATTGCTACTCTGATGCCATAAAGGGACGCTTCTAGACTAAAAGGAAAGAATTGTATCCACTTGCAATTTAGCCTATCTTTCTTCATCTTTTGCCCTGTCTTCTTTGGGAATGTGAATGTGATGACTGTTTATTCTACACAATCATAAGGGATACATATTGCCATTTTAGTGGCTATGTTTTGCATTTTGTTAAGGTACACGTTTTAAATTTCTTCCTTGTGTTAAAATATCCAGTATTTGTGCATATGTGTATATATACACACACACAGCACCCACACACATAGTGTATGACACATATAATGTGCCTTATTTGCATATTATATTTATGTATGAATGTGTCTCAATGATAGTGTCATTTTTATAATAATATGATAATATATTGGTATGATCTAATAATTTAGCTTCCTTATCTCATTGGAATACAATTACCAAGGGGCTTATTGGCCTGTAAAAGAAAACTCCTAGTTGGGATCTAAATGCGTTTACAGTAGCCAAATTTACATCTACCAGCTATCTAGACGTCAAATAATATAGAACATAGGGAGCCGAAGCAATTTTTACTAATTGTTTCTTAACTGAAGGATAGGAGATATGCAGAACAGTTAAATAGCCCTAGGGTCCATGTTTATTATGGCCAAGAAAGAGAAACGGTAGTCATAAATTAAGTTTATTACATCTTATATATAGCGTAGCAAGAGAAGCATGAAAGTAATACCGTATCACTCTCCTTTTCACCAATGCATGAATATTAGATTTATGAATTATGCTTAGTAGTTAGTCCATGCATAAAAAAGCATTATAAAATACATATAATATTGCAATATAGCTGCAAAAATATAGTTAAGTATCTGAAATTCACTTATATAAACAAAACTATAATAATCCAGTGGGAACTGACTTAATATTCAATGTTTCAGCCAGGACACGAGATCTAAGTTATTGTTACAAATGTGTACATGACCATTGTCATGTCATTGAATTGCAAGAAAATTCAATTTATTATGTCATTTTCTTTCCATCTGAATTAGGCATATTTTATATTTGATGTTTTCTTGCTAAAAAGCATTTATAGGCTTTCTCCATTTGACTTTATTTTCTTTCTTTCAATTTGTCATAGATGAGTCCATACTGTGAACTTTTTAATTAAATTTTTTAATGATGCTTGTCCCAGCTTTCTAAACATCTAATCTTACCCTTAAGAGTTTAACTTACCATTTAAGTTTAGAGTTTTCTAAATATTATTATTTAATTGTCTTATAGTGGCAAGTGTAATGCTCCCTGCATAGTCAGTGTCATCAAAAGCTTATTAACTAAGAGAAACAAAGGTAAGTGTTAAAATTTAAAGATCACACAGTGAGGGAAGTCTTGGAAAATTGGCAGAAACCTCTCCAAAGTATATCTGTGGGTAATATTATATACTTCATATTCTGTAAGATGGTGACAGTAAGGATTAGGACAGATTTGAAGGTTTGATCCTTATTTATAAGCTTCTTGCTTGTGAATAGAAGTCAGACCTACAATTTATTAACTTACCTTCTTCACTATTTCTACACTGGTCCAAGTCACCATTATCTTTCACCTGAATTATTCCAATAGTCTCTATAATTGTCTCCTGTTTTCACATCTTCTTTATCACACTGTCTTCTCAATATAGCTGGGAGAGGTTCTATTAAAGGAAGTCAGCTAATTCCTCTTTTCAAATCTCCAAAGTCTGCTTCTCATTTAGAGTAAAACCCAAGGTCCTTACAGTGGTCTACAAGGCCCTACGAGATCTTCCTTCAGGTCTACCATTTCTTTTCCTACTACTTTCTCCCTCACTCAAACTAGCTTCTTTGCTCTTCTCTATGAATTGCCATTTATAAGTGATTATCACATTTCATTTTTAAAATACCATGAAGCCCAGATACTCATGAATTACTCTCTACTTGTTTGCCCTCTGAATACTTTCTCTAGGACTCACCAGGTATAAACATTGGTACAAAGGAGGCCAAAAACACAGCAATAACAGAAACAGCAAAGACAAGCTATCTTTGTTCTCCTTCTGAGATTTTTTGCTAAAACTGCAAATTGTGCCAGGTTGGAAGGAAGAATCAATGACCCATCATGAGCAATGTACACACACTCTTGGTTTTGCCATTTTCTTGTCTTTTTGTTGGGCCAGAAGGATACCATTGAAAATTACTGCTTCAGTGCTTTAAAGAGTTAATGTAGCTTCCAGAAAGGCTTATTACACTCCCCGGGAGTAGCTTATGCATTATGAGAATGTGGCTCAGTTTGTTGGCAAAATGCACATCTGCTACAGGATAGGGACAACTGCTGATTAAAGGAGACTTCAGTGGCCCTAGTCTTTAGGAGCAAGTTGACTGATGGCAAAGTTTTCGAAGATTATATCTAAAGTCCAGTGTCCCTTTTATCACCACCTCCCGTGGGTAATGATTGAACATAATTAGCATTATTTTATATGCTCGAATCCTTCTCCCATTACTGTTAACTGTCTTTCTATCGCAGTTTATTGGATTGCCACTGATCTCAATTTCACCTTGGGCATTCAAGTGAGGCTGAAATTTCTCCCTCTTTCTAGTTAAAACTTAAAATATGTGACATCATCAGAAGTTGGAGGAAATCAGGCATTTATAATGAATATGAGATTGTAGAGCTCCCAATGTAATTAAGATTCTTTTGTCAAAATTTATCTAAATTCACCATATATGAAAGACTACCACACACACTTCCTTTAGTTTACCAATATAATCCTAGTACAGGTGAGTTGTTGTTTAGGCTTATAGTAGCATATGCTGTTTTAGGAAACTTTTTGCAGAGAAATGGGGGAGAGGGAGTACATTTCAAAATTGTTTTGAACATTAGGTAGTATAAAATATTTCTAAAAATAAAGAGAAGCTTTTTGGATTTTAGAAATGTTGCTTAATGAACATTGCATTTGAACATAATTTTTCATAATTTAAAACCTTATTATATCACCTATTACATAAAGAGAAATATTAATTGATTTGTCCATTTCAGATGGGGGTGTTGATTGATATTAGAAATTCAGGCCAATAAGACGCAAAGAGAAACAATAAGTAGATTTCAACCTTTCGGTTAAGCTATATTTCAATTTTTTTTGAGATGGAGTCTTGCTCTGTGGCCAGGCTAGAGTGCAGTGGCACGATCTCGGCTCACTACAACCTCCACCTCCCAGGTTCAAGCGATTCTCCTCCCTCAGCTTCACAAGTAGCTGGGACTACAGGCACGTGCCACCATGCCCAGCTAAGTTTTGTGTTTTTAGTAGAGATGGAGTTTCACCTTGCTGGCCAGGATGGTCTCAATCTCTTGACCTCGTGATCTGCCCGCCTTGGCCTCTCAAAGTGCTGGGATTACATGTGTGAGCCATCGCGCCTGGCCAAGCTATATTTCTAAATAGTAACTGAGTGGTTTTACAATATTATAATATTTTCTGGTTGGGCAAAGATTTTTTATTTTAGTTTTTTTTTAATTTTTAATTTTTGTGGGTATATAGTAGGTATATATATTTATGAGGTAGATGAGATACTTTGATACAGGTGTGCAATGCATAATAATTACATCAAAATAGGGCATCTATCCCCTCAAGCACTTATGCTTTGTGTTACAAACAATCCAGTTTCACTTTACGTTATTTTAAAATGTACTATTTAATTATTATTGACTATAGTCACCCTGCTGTGCTAGAAAATACTAGGTCTTATTCATTCTTTCTATTTTATTTTTTACCCATTAACCATCCCCATCTCCCCCAACCCTCGAACTACTCTCCCCAGCCTCTGGTAACCATCTGTCTACTCTCAATGTCCATGAGTTCAATTGTTTTCATTTATAGATCCCACAAAGAAGTGAAAACATGAAAAGTTTGTCTTTCTGTGCCTGGCTTATTTCACTTAACCCAATGATCTTCAATTCCATCCATGCTGTTGCAAATGACAGGATCTCAGCCTTTCTATGATTGAAAATCATTGTGTATATGTATGACTTTCTTTTATCCATTCGTCTGTTGATGGACACTTAGATTGCTTTCAAGTCTTGGCTATGGTGAACAGTGCTGCAACAAACATGGGGGTGCAGATATCACTTCATTATACTGGTTTCCTTTCTTTGGGGTATATATGCAGCAGTGGGATGGCGGGATTGTATGGTAGCTTTATTTCTAGTTTTTTGAGGAACCTCCAAACTTTTCTCCATAGTGGTTGTACTAATTTACATTCCCACTAACAGGGTACAAGAGTTCCCTATACTCCACATCCTAACCAACATTTGTTATTGCCTGACTTTAGATATTTCCTTTTAATTGGGGTGACATTATATCTCATTGTAGTTTTGATTTACATTTGTCTAACAATCAACGTTGAGCAACTTTTCATATACCTGTTTGCTATTTATATTTCTGGTTTTTAGAAATATCTATTGAAATCTTTTGCCCATTTTTAATCGGATTATTAGATTTTTTTTCCTACAGAGTTGTTTAACCTCCTCATATGTTCTGGTTATTAATCCTTTATCAGATGTGTAGCTTTTAAATATTTTCTCCCATTCTGTGTGATGTCTCTTCACTTGGCAAAATGTTTTCTTTGCTGCATAGAAGCTTTTTAACTTGATATGATGCCATTTGTCCATTTTTGCTTTGGTTGCCTTGGCTTGTAGGGTATGACTCAAGAAATTTTTGCCCAGACCAATGTCCTGGAGCATATCTCCAATGTTTTCTTGTGTTCATTTCATAATTTCATGTCTTAGATTTAAGTCTAATTCATTGTGATTTGACTTTTTTGTATATGGTGAGAGACAGGGATCTAGTTTCATTCTTCTGCACATGGATATCCAGTTTTCCCAACATCAGTTACTGAAGCGACTGTCTTTGCCCCAGAGTATGTTCTTGGCACCTTTGTTGAAAAGGAGTTCACTGTAGGTGTATGGATTTATCTCTGGGTTCTCTATTCTGTTCCACTGATCTATGTGTCTGTTTTTAATGTCAGTGCATGCCATTTTTGTTACTATAGCTCTGTAGTAAAATTTAAAGTCATGTAATGTTATTCCTCCGGTTTTATTCTTTTTTCTCAAGATAGCTTTGTTTACTCTGGGTGTTTGGTGTTCGCATATAAATTTTAGGATTTTTAAAAATTATTTCTGTGAAGAATGTTATTGGTATTCTTTTAGGGATTGCGTTGAATCTGGAGATTGCATTGAGTAGTGTGGCCATTTTAACAATATTCATTCTTCCAATTCATTAACATGGAATGTCTTTCCATTTTTTTTGTCCTCTACAGTTTTTTCCAGCACTGTTTTATAATGTTCATTGTCTTGATTTTTCAGTTCTTCGGTTAGGTTAATTCCTCGGTATTCATTTTTATTTGTGGCTATTGTAAATGGGCTTACTTTTTTTTCCTTTTTACATTGGTCACTGCTAGCATATAGAAATGCTACTGATTTTTCCATGTTTATTTTCTATCCTGCAATTTTACTAAATTTGTTTACCAGTTGTAAGAGTGTTCTTGTGGGGTCCTTAGGTTTTTCCAAGTATAAGATCATATCATCAGCAAACCAAGATAATTTTACTTCTTCCTTTCCAATTTGGATGCCCTTTATTTCTTTCTCTTGTTTAATTGCCCTAGCTAGGACTTTCAGTGCTATGTTGAATAACAATGGTTAAAGTGGGTATCCTTGTCGTGTTCCAGATGTTGGAGGAAAGGCTTTCAGTTTTTTTCCCATTCAGTATGATACTCAATGTGGGCCTGTTGTATATGGCTTTTATTATATTGAGGTATGTTTCTTCTATCCCTAGTCTTTTAAGGGTTTTTATCATGAAGGGATGTTGAATTTTATCAAATACTTTTCTGGGATCAGTTGAAATGATCATGTAGTTTTGTCCTTCATTCTGTTGCTATGATGTACCACATCAATTGATTTGCATATGTTGAATAATTCTTGAATCCCTATGATAAATCCCACTTGACCATGATAAATGATTTTTTTTTTTTTTTGAGGCTAATGCAATGACGGCTCACTGCTGTCTCAACTTCCTGGGCTCATGTGATTCTCCCATCTCAGCCTCCCAAAGAACTGGGACTACAGGTGTTCGCCACCATGCCTGGCTACATTTTTGTAGCTATAGGGTTTCTCCATGTTGCCCAGGCTGGTCTTGAACTCCTGGGCTCAAGCGATCTGCTCACCTCAGCCTCCCAAAGTACTGGGATTTTAGGCATAAGTCACTGGGCCCAGCAAATGATCAGTTTAAATGTATTGTTGGATTAAGTTTGCTAGTATTTTGTTGAGGATTTTTGCATCAATATTCATCAGAGGTATTGGCTTGTAGTTTTCTTTCTTGACATGTCTTTGCTTTTGGTATGAGAGTAATACTGGCCTCATAGAATGAATTTGGAAGTATTCCCTTCTGCTTTATTCTTTGGAGTAGTTTGAGTAGGATTGGCATTAGTTCTTCTATAAATGTTTGGTAGAATTCAACAGTGAAGCCATTGGGTCCCAGGCCTTTTTTTTTTTTTTCTAGAAACTTCATATTATTGTTTAGTTCTTATTACTTGTTAGTGGTCTTTTCAGGTTTTGGATTTCTGCATGGTTCAATATTTGTAGGTTGTATGTGTCTATGAATTAATTTGTTTCTTCTAGGTTTTCCAATTTATAGACACAGAGTGGCTCATAATCCTTTAAATTAGTCCTTTAAATAATCCTTTAAATTACTGTGGTTTCAGTCATAATGTCTCCTTTTTCATCTCTGATTTTGTATATTTGTGTCTTCTCTCTTTCTTCTCAGTTTGCCTAAAAGTTTGTCAATTATGTCTTCAAAAAGCCAACTTTTCATTTCTTTGATCTTGTGTATCATTTCCTTATTTCAATTTCATCTATTTCTCCTCCGATCTTTATTATTTATTTTCTTCTACTAATGTTGAGTTTGGTTTGCTCTTGTTTTTCCAGTTTTTTAAGATGCATAGTTAGGTTATGTATTTGAAGTTTTTCTTTTTCTTTTTTTTTTTAAATGTAAGCACTTACAGCTATAAACTTTCCGCTTAGTAGTACTTTTGCTGTTCCCATAGGTTTTGATATGTTGTGTTTTTATTATCATTTGTTTTAAAACATCTTTCAATTTTCTTCTTAATTTCTTCATTGACTCACTGGTAATTCAGCATTTTATTTAATTTCCCTGTGTTTGTATAGTTCCCAAATACCTCTTGTTATTGATTTCTAGGCTTATCAAATGGTGTTTTTAGAAGATGCTTGATATGATTTCAATTTTTTGGATGTTTAAAGACCCATTTTGTGACTTAAGGTATGGTCTATCCTTGAGAATGATCCATGTGCTGAAGAAAAGAATGCGTATTATGCAGCTGTTGGATGAAATGTTCTGTAAATATCTATTAGGTCCATTTGCTCTATAGGGCAGATTAAGTCAGATGTTTAATTTGCTGCCTGAAAGATCTGTCCAGTGCTAAAAGTGGGGTGCTGAAGTCTCCAGCTATTATTGTGTTGGGGTCTATTACTCTCTTTAACTCTAATATTTTTTTATATATATTTGGGTGCTCCAGCGTTGGGTGAATATTTATTTACTATTGTTATATCCTCTTTCTGAATTGACTACTTTATCATTATACTATAACCTTCTTTGTCTCTTTTTTCAGTTTTTGCCTTGAAATCCATTTTGTCTGATATCAGTATAGCTACTCCTGCTCTTTTTTGGTTTCCATTGACACAGAATATCTTTTTTCATTTTGTAAATTTTCAGTCTGTGTGTACATTTATAGATGAACTATGTTTATTGTAATCAACACATCATTGGGAATTGCTTTTTTTATCCATTCAGCTGTTTTATGCCTTTTGATTGGAGAGTTTAGTCTATTTATATTCAATGTAATTATTGATAAGTAAAGACTTACTCCTTCCTTTTTGTTATTGGTTTTCTGTTTGTTTTGTGGTCTTTTCTTCCTTTTCTTCATCCTTCCTGTCTTACTTTTACTGAAGGTGATTTTCTCTGGTGGCAAGATTTAATTTCTTGGTCTTTAATTTTTGTATATCCATTTTAGGGTTGTTTTTTGAGATTACCATGAGGCTTGCAAATATCATCTTATAACCCATTATTTTAAGCTGATAACACCTTAACATTGTTTGCATAAACAAACAAGCAAAAATAAAACTAATAAAAACTTTACACCTTAACTTTGTTTCCCTAGTTTTTAACTTTTTTGTTTCTGTTTATATCTTGTTATACTGTCTTGTAATTATTATTTTTGAGTGGTTAATTGTTTAGCCTTTCTACTTAGGATAACAGTAGTTTATACACCACAGTTACAGTGTTATATTATTCTGTGTTTTTCTGTGTGCTTACTGTCACCAGTGAGTTTTATACCTTGGGATGATTTCTTCCTGCTCATTAATGTCCTTTTCTTTCAGATTGAAGCATTCCCTTTAGCATTTCTTGTAGCACGTATCTGGTGTTTATGAAATTCCTCAGCTTTTGTTTCTCTGGGAAAATATTTATTTCTCCTTCGTGCTCCAAGGATATTTTTGCCAATTTTTGCTATTATCTGGTAAAAGTTTTTTCCTTCAGCACTTTAAATATGTCCTGACTATCTCTTCTGGCCTGTAAGGTTTCGACTGAAAAGTTTGCTGCCAGATGTAATGGAGCTTTGTTGTATGTTATTTGTTTCTTCTCTCTTGCTGCTTTTAGGTTCTTTTCCTTAGAATTGACCTTTGGGAAGTTGATTATTAAATGCCTTGAGGTAGTCTTCTTTAGGTTAAATCTGCTTGGTGTTCTATAACTTTCTTGTACTTGAATGTTGATATCACTCTCTAGGTTTGAGAAATTTCCTGATATTATCCATTTAAATATACTTTCTACCCCTATCTGTTTCTCTACCTCCTTTTGAAGGCCAATAACTCTTATATGTGCCCTTTCGAGGTTATTACCTAGATAGCAATAGCTTTCAAGTGTGCTTTATGCTTTCATATTCTTTTTTCTTTTATCTACGTTGACTTTTCAAATAGCCTGTCTTTACGTTCACTAATTATTTCTTCTGCTTGATTAATTCTGCTGTTAAAAGAGTCGATGCATTCTTTAGTATGCCAATTTCAATTTTCAACTCCATAATTTCTGCTTGATACTTTTAAATTATTGCTATCTCTTTGTAAGTTTATCTGATAGAATTCTAAATTCATACTCTGTGCTATCTTGAATCTCTTTGAGTTTTCTCAAAGCAGATATTTTGAATTATCTGTCTCAAAGGGCATATATCTCTGTTTCTTCAGGATTGATCTGTGATGTTTTATTTAGTTCCTTTGGTGAGAATATGTTTTCCTGGAGGTTACTGATGCTCGTAGATGTTTGTTTATGTCTGTATATTGAGGAGTTCGGTGTTCATTGTACTCTTCACAGTCTGGGATTGTTTCCCATCTTTCTTCGGATGGTCTTTGATATGGTTTGGCTTTGTCTCCACCAAAACCTCATCTTGAATTGTAACTCCTACAATTGCCACTTGTCATGGGAGGAACGCGGTGGGAGGTGATTGAATTATGGGGGCAGGTCTTTCCTGCACTGTTCTCATGATTGTGAATAGTCTTACGAGATTCGATGGTTTTAAAAATGGGAGTTTGCCTGCACAATCTCTCTTCTCTTGTCTGCTGCCATGTGAGATATGCCCTTCACCTTCCACCAAGATTGTGAGGCCTCCCCAGCCTCGTGGAATTGTAAGTCCAATAAACCTCTTTCCTGTATAAATTGTGCAGTCTTGGGTATGTCTTTATCATACCCAAGCATGAAAATGGACTAATACAGTAAATTGGAACCAGTAGAGAGGGGCGCTGCTGAAAAGATACCCGAAAATGTGGAAGCAACTTTGGAACTGGTTGGCAGAGGTTGGAACAGTTTGGAGGGCTCAGAAGAAGACAGGACAATTTGAGAAAGTTTGGAATTTCCTAGCGACTTGTTAAATGGCTTTGCCCAAGATTCTGATAGTGATAAGGACAATAAAGTCCAGGCTGAGGTGGTCTCAGATGAAGATGAGGAACTTATTGGGAACTGGAGCAAAGGTGATTCTTGTTATGTTTTAGCAAGGGGACTGGCGGTATTTTGCCCATGCCCTAGAAATTTCTGAAACTTTGAACTTGAGAGATATGATTTAGGGTATCTGGTGGAAGAGATTTATTTTATTTTATTTCATTTTATTTTATTTTAAATTCTGGGATATATGTGCAGAAAATGCAGATTCATTACATAGGTATACGTGTGCCACGGTGGTTTGCTGCACCTATCTACTCATCATCTAGGTTCTAAGCCTCGCATGCATTAGCTATTTGTCCTGATGCTGTCGCTCCCCTCACCCCCTACCTCCCAACCGGCCCCAGTGTGTGATGTTACCCTCCCTGTGTCCATGTGTTCTCATTGTTCAACTCCCACTTATGAGTGGGAACATGTGGTTTTTGGTTTTCGGTTCCTGTGTTAGTTTGCTGAGGATGTTGGCATCCAGCTTCATCCATGTCCCTGCAAAGGACATGATCTCATTCCTTTTTACGGCTGCATAGTATTCCATGGTGTATATGTACCACATTTTCTTTATCCAGTCTATTACTGATGGGCATTTGGGTTGGTTCCATGTTTTTGCTATTGTAAATAGTGCTGCAATAAACATAGTGTGCATGTATCTTTATAGTAAAATGATTTATATTCCTTTGGGATTCCTTTGCTTGGTCAAATGGTATTTCTGGTCCTAGATCCTTGAAGAGTTGCCACACTATCTTCCACAATTGTTGAACTAATTTACATTCCCACCAACAGTGTCAAAGCATTCCTATTTGTTCACAGCCTACAGCATCTATTGTTTCTTGACTTTTTAATAATCATCATTCTGACTGGCATGAGATGGTATCTCATTGTGGTTTCAATTTGTATTTCTCTAATGATCAGTGATGTTGAGGGTTTTTTGTGTATGTTTGTTGGCCACATAAATGTCTTCTTCTGAGAAGTGTCTGTTCATATCATTTGCCCCCTTTTTGATGGGGTTATTTGTGGGTTTTTTTTTTTTTTTTCGTAACTGTGTGAGTTCCTTGTAGATTCTGGATATTAGACCTTTGTCAGATGGGTAGATTGCAAAAATTTTCTCCTATTCTGTAGGTTGCCTGGTGGAAGAAATTTCTAAGCAGCAAATCATTCAAGATGTGACTTGGGTGCTGTTAAAGGCATTCAGTTTTATAAGGGAAGGAGAGCATAAAAGTTCAGAAAATTCAGAGCCTGACAATGTAATAGAAAAGAAAATCTCATTTTCTGAGGAGAAATTAAAGCGGGCTACAGAAATTTGCACAAGTAACAAGGAGCCCAATGTTAATCCCCAAGACAAAGGGGTCCAGGGCATGTTAGAGGTCTTCATGGCAGCCCCTCTAATCACAGGCTCAGAGGCCTAGGAGGATAACATGGTTTTGTGGGCCAGGCTCAAGGTCCCCATGCTGTGTACAGCCCAGGGACTTGGTGCCCTATGTCCCAGGAGCTCCAGCCATGGCTGAAAAGGGCCAACATGGAACTCAGGCCATGGCTTCAGAGGGCGCAAGCCTCAAGCTTTGGCAGTATCCACGTGGTATAGAGCCTGCAATTGCACAGAAGTCAAGAATTGAGGTTTGGGAACCTCTGACTAGATTTCAGAAGAGGTATGGAAATGCCTGGATGTCCAGGCAGAAGTTTGCTGCAGGGGCAGGGCTCTCAAGAAGAACCTTTGCCAGCACAGTTTGAAAGCAATGTGAGAACATGAGATTTGGGAAGGGCCAGGGGTGGAATGATATGGTTTGGCTGAGTCCCCACCCAAACCTCATCTTGAATTGTAACACCCACAATTGCCATGTGTCGTGGGAGGAACCCAGAGGGAGGTGATTGAAATGGGGACGGGTCTTTCCTATGCTGTTCTTGTGAAAGTGAATGAGTCTCAGGAGATCTGATGGTTTTAAAAATGAGAGTTTGCCTGCACAAGCTCTCTTCTCTTGTCTGCTGCCATGTGAGACTTGCCTTTCCCCTTCTGTTATGATTATGAGGCCTCTCCAGCCACCTAGAACTGTAAATCCAATAAACCTCTTTCCTGTATAAGTTGCCCAGTCTTGGATATGTCTTTATCAGCAGTGTGAAAATGGACTAATACCACTTTCCAGGTCCTAAAAGAGACTTGAACCCCAAGCCCAATACTACTGTCATCCATGGAGACTCATAGAAGCACTGCCTTGGTGGTCTTGTAAAAGATTTGGAAGAATTAAAGTTGGAGCCACCAACACTGTGACTGTGCTTGGGCAGACCTGAAACCAGCACAGCACTGGGTCTCACCCAAGGCCCACTGTAACCACTACCAGGCTCCTTTCTATGTTAACTCAAGGCCCTAGGGCTCTACAATCAGCAGGTGGGAAATCCAGCCATGTTTGTGACCTCTTCTTCAGGGCAGCAAGTTTTCCAGGCCCTGTGCCGGTCCAGAGATGCTATCTGGGAGCCAAGAATTAGAGTCAAATACCTTAAAAATCTACCTGGTATTCTATTGTACTATGGCTAAGCTGGTTCTTGAACCACAAGACAAAGTCCTTCTCCTCTTCTCTCCCCTTTTCACAGGCAGAGGAGCCTCTCCCAGTGGACACCACCACCACCAGCCCACAGGGATTTCTGCCAGGCCACTGCTAATGTTCACTTAAAGCCCAAGGGCTGCTCAGTCAGCTTGTGGTAAATGCTGCCAGGCCTGGGACTCACCCTTCATGGAAGTGGGCTCCCCTCTGGCCCAGGGCAGGTTCATAAATGTTATCCAAGAGGCTAGGCCTGGACTTAGGGACCCCAAGAACCTGCTTTATGCTGTACCCCACTGTGGATAAGCTGATACCTAAGGTGTAAGAAAAGTTCCCTTTGCTTTTCCCTCTGCTTTTCTGAAGCAGTAGGAGTCTTTCATCACAGCCACCACAGCTGGGAATGTGCTGGGTCTCACCTGAAGCCAGCATGTCTCACAATCTCACTGAAGTCCCACCATGTACTATCTGGTTATCACTGATGGTTACTCAGAGTCTATTGAATTATGCCACAATTGTGTCCTTCCCTTCAAATCAGCAGATTACTTTCTGGCCCAGGGTATGTCTAGCATGTCATCCAACATCCAGGGCCTAGAAATAGGGACCTCACAACTCTGCCTAGTGCCCTATCTTATTTTGGCTGAGCTGGTATCCAAGATGCAAGGCAAAGTCCTCTTTACTCTTTGCTCTCCTCTCCTCAAGCACTGCCTGGGGCTGGGGGGATTGGAGGGGGAAGTTGACACAAGCACTCCCTTAGTTTCCCCGGTTGATGTCTCCCTAGGTCACATGTTGCTCTGGTCCCCTGGCTCTAGGCCCAGCCCAGCACTAGGACATGCTTAGGAATTTTAGTCTTTGTGCTTTTGACTGCCTTTCAAATTTACCCAGGATCTCAGAGCGCTTTACCCCATGGTGGCAAGGCTTGATGAGAAACTCAAGTTCCAACCACTGGGATGGGGAATTCCCCTCTGGCTAGGGCTGGTCCAAATGTTCATTCTGTGGGTGGGTGATGGCTGAGCCCAGCAAGACTTTGCTCACCACTGTGACAGGGCAGCACTGAGTCCAATGCCGAGTCCTCCAGTCGCTGTTGTTTCTCTCTCCCAAGTGCAAAGATTCTCTCCTTGCATACAGCCACTGCCAGCGATATGGGAGGGGTGACGTCCATGATACACGACTGTCTTTCCTAGCCTTCTCAGTGCCTCTTTTGGTGATATGAAGTTAAAACCAAGTAATGTGATTGCTAACCTGATTTTTGACCTTATGACATTGCTTTTTGTGTGTGTGTAGTTAGTTGTTAGACTTTTATGTTCCTGTCAAGTGGACAATCAGTGGAGGCTTCTGGTTGGCCATTTTTCTCTGGGGTGGGACAGAGATTTTACCAAAGACTAATTAATGCATTTTGAAAATTGGATAAATATTTCCTCATTCAATAGTTTCAGAATTTCATTATTAAGACAAAACTATTGCTACATGTTTTGAATGTTTTAGAAATTGCTGATTATGTTATTGATTATATCTAAAATCTCAATATATCTGCACATGAAAAAAAGAGAAATAATGCTACTTTTTTATTTACCTAAGACATAATATTTTACATATTTATGGGATACTTGTGAGTATTTGTCACATGTATAGAATGAGTAATGATCAAGTCAGGGTATTTGAAGCATCCATCACCTTGACTATTTATCATTTGTATGGGTTGGTAACATTTCATGTCCTCTTTTCCACCTACTTTGAATTATACAATATATTTTTACCAACTATAGTCACTTTAGAATGCTACTTATTCTTAATTTTGCCACTCCTCCTTCAACAAAGTATAGAATTATGGTGACTTTTAAAACATTACGTTTTGAAAAGTATGCATATTCATATACTTGACTACAAATTATAAAACCTAATTAAAATTATTTTCTTATACAATCACCAAATCTATACTGTTCTGTATTGTATTATTCTACGGTAAGAGAGTTTTTGTGTTTCAGTCTTGATACTTTGCTCACAATAATCCAATGCAAATCAGTACAACACAAACTGACTATTCAAACATGTAGTGTTTTGAAATCACAGCCCAAGATATATGCTTCTTCCTAAATTTTCACATTAAAAACGTCAATGTAAGGTGACATGTATTGGTAGTTAGATCAGAAAAGAAGTAAATAATTCTGAGTTCTATTCCTTGAACTTCTATTGATTTTAATACACCATGTATATATTTAGCAGGTGCAAAAAAATTAATGAGTACCACACAAATATTACAGTTTAAAAAATAGCCTCTAGGCTGGGCACAGTGGCTTATGCCTGTAATCCCAGCACTTTGGGAGGCTGAGGTGGGCAGATTACGAGCTCAGGAGTTCGAGAGCAGCCTGACAACACGGCGAAACCCCATCTCTACTAAAAATACAAAAGTTAGCCGGGTTTGGTGGCATGTACCTGTAATCCCAGCTACTCAGGGGGCTGAAGCAGGAGAATCGCTTGAACCCAGGAGGTGGAGGTTGCAGTGAGCTGAGATCACACCACTGCACTCTAGCCTGGGTGACAGAGCGAGACTCCGTCTCAAAAAAACAAAAAAATAGCCTCTATATTCATTTTGATGTTATAGTGAGACATGGGATTATTGATAAATCAATTTTAATAAATAGTATAAAATCCTAAAACAACTAAAGTATCTAAACGTAATTTAACTTTTAATTACAGTATTATGTGATAAGAATACGAGTGTGAATATTTCCCATGCAATCCATTAAAATTTAATATTTTATTAAATTAAGAAACACCATAAATAGCTTAAGATATCTTAAAATATTATATTATTAAATTAAAATATATCATGAAAGATAATGTCACATTCTTCGGTGAACAATCAGAAATCCTTGTCTTGAATGAATTATCAACTAAATATATTTACTTTTATTAAATACATGCATAAATGTTAATAGAAAATTAATCTGTGTTAAATGAATATGTCTTTCTGAAGATTTCTGTACATCATATTATATGGCTCAGATTAAGACACACACTTTACAAAATCTAGCATTTCTGAGTATAAAATCTTCTGACAAAATTTTTTTTCTTATGAGCACCTACCATGTGATTTTAGAGTAACATACATACATTAATTTTCTCTCAATGAACTACATTTAGCTATTTATTGGCTACTTCCAAATACACACAAATAATTATTTGAATAAAGATTATAGCTCAGGAAGCTATAAAGTTGTTGCTTTTTTTTTTTTTTTTTTTTTTGAGAGGGAGTCTTACTCTGTTGCCCAGGCTGGAGTGTAGTGGGGTGATCTCAGCTCATGCAACCTACACCTCCCGGGTTCAAGCGATTCTCTGCCTTGGCCTCCTGAGTAGCTGGGATTGCAGGCTCCCACCCCCACACCCAGCTAATTTTTTCTGTATTTTTTAGTAAAGATGGGGTTTTGCCATCTTGGCCAGGCTGGTCTTGAACTCCTGACCTCGTCATCCACCCGCCTCAGCCTCCCAAAGTACTGGGATTACAGACGTGAGCCACCGCGCCCGGCCGTTGATCATTTTTTAAGAACACATTTCTGTGATTTTCAGTTTATTATACCATTGTAGGTAACCTAAAAATAGCTGTGCATTTTCGATATATTAGATATTTTTATGTTGTTATTGAAGGAAAAAAACCTAGCTTTCTACTTGAAAGAGATGATACTTGTTCATTAATATTTATGTGTTTTAAAAGTGAGGGAGAATATTTTTTCAAAAATTAAATATTGCCTCTTTTGGCATATTGGCACATAAGCAAGCCAGCACTTAATAATACAAATAATTTCTTTAACATATTTTACTTTTCTTGACTTCATTTCAGTTGAAATTACATTGTAATTTCTGCAATTAGTGATCTTAGCTTTACTGTTTTCCCTGTCAGTTCAATGAAGTAGTGATTGGACAAAATGTGGAGGATTGGGCTATAAAACATTTAATCTATGCATAACTGAAAGCCTAAAAGATCTCTAGCAGATTTCCTGGGTTGTTATCCCATAAGGCTCATAATTTCTAAAATACACCAAAGTTTATGTTTAGGAATACACATGTTTTACAAAATAAATACACTGATATTCTCTTAGTCTTTCATCAAAGTACTAAATGATCTTTGCCTTTCTAACTTCCATGGGCCACTGGTCCTTGGTGATGGAGCCATGACCTGGAGCTAAAAAACAAAATGAACATATCCAGAAATATAATGTCTTGGCTGCTGTAACTTACAAGGAAATGTTCACTGTATGAAAAACAGCTTCACAGAAATACTAAGTTGTCAATTTATCAGTCAAAATTATGTGTAACCGCCAGTGTACGATCATATACAAATCCTAATATAAAATTTTAATTTGCCTTTAAATAGCTTGAATTTCATTGACAAACATCCTATCATAGGCATAACTTTCTTGAAGTTTAAAATAGCAGCATTAATGTATTAATTATAATCTTGCATTTTTAGATGATTGATAGAGTTAAAAAGAGATATTCCAACTCATTTATAATCTTGCGAGGCTGAAATACTAAGTAAACTATTAGTTCAACTTGTCACTTTAATATAAGGACATTGTTGAAATTCCTAAGGATATAGTCTAGCTGCTTGGCAATGGATTGCAGTGAAATTCATTGAGAGTTCATTGAACATGGAAAGGATGTAATTTATTTAAATCCTTCACTTATTAAATCAGGATTTGAATTTTTTTAATATTTTATTTTTTTTCCAACTAATGAAATGGACTTGAAAAGAATTAGCAAAATCTTTGTAGAGTTGTGACAAAGTAATTCTGATGACTATGTTGTCTACTAAAGTTTTTACTGATAAGCGCTGAAGGCTGAATTGAGATGAATACATTCACTGTTGTTTAGAGGATTTGTTTTTATTTTGATTTGTTTTACAGAAAGATATTCAGTTTTAAATACCTTATAGAATAGTCTTGCCCATATCTCCCTTTCCATATAAATAATAAGATCATATTCTTGCATATTTAATGAGCATATAGATTAACAAAAAGTTTACAAAGGAACTCCTGTGTTTCTTAATAAATAATCATATAAGTAACAGAAGGTAAAATTTTTCCACAGCTTTATTAAATTGATTAGTAAGTACAGACTTTTGAAGCATAAAGTTTTAAATATGTAAAAATTTAGCTTCTGATTTTGTGTCTTTGTCTCTACCTCCCTCATACTTTTTGATTTCATGGGGTTTTTTGTTGTTGTTCTTTGCATTTAAGTTATGCATTTGCTCTCAGCCGTGCTTTCATCTATTCTTTTGAGATTTCAAATATTAAAACCTTAAGTGTGATCTTTGCAGGTGTATTGTCAAGATAAAATTCATGAATTCTCTCTAAGAGAAATGTCTTTAGACTTAGTAAAGGGTTACTACTATACTGTTTTCTGATTGATGCAAGTACTGTGGAGCTTAAAAGTCAAAATGGTAGATATGAAAATGAGTTTTTTGGGGAATACTTTATTTGCATCAAATAATGTGTAAGATATATTGGCACATCTGTATGATTATGTGTCCTCAGCCCTGTCATACCCATCATTTCTTTCACTGAATTACAGAAGGGATTCCTAAGGAGAAAACCACATAATTCCTGTTTGTAATTGGCAATTATAAGGAAAGACAAGCTTTAAATTAAATCTTGATAAAAACTGATCATGCTCTTTCTAAAATGACAACATAGACTTTTTCTCTCCTCCTCTGCTCTAATAAATGAATTAGGCACAACTGTAGATTTCAAGACGTTCATGATGTTTTAGAAGCTCAGGGGGATAGAAAGATCAATTACACCTGGTACCTGCCCTTAGGGAGCTTGTAGTCAAATTAGTGCAGATAAGAAACAAAGGCATATAATTATAAACTCAGGAAAAAACTGATTCCAGAATGAAGATAAAGTCTGGACCACAGGATACCAGAGGAAGGAGAGATCTATTTAGACAGAAGGATTACAGTGCAGGTGGTTCTTAAGCAGGTTGTTGAAAGATCAAATTTAGATATGTGGGTCATCAGGAAAAAAAGGTGTTTCAGAAATAAGAACAGGACTATTAAAGGCACTAACACAGGAAATCTCTGGTGTACACTGATACAAATCAAATAGTTCAGTTTCATTGGGTTAATGTATGAAACAGAGTTGTTACAAGGAAATTTGAAATGTTTGATTTGGATCTTGGATGCCAGGTCAAAGAGTTCAGTTGACATTTACAATTTTGGGGATTGAGAGTCAGAACAACACTTTCAGGCCAGGCGTGGTGGCTCACGCCTGTAATCCCAGCACTTTCGAAGGCCAAGGCGAGTGGATCATCTGAGGTCAGGAGATCGAGACCAGCCTGGCCAACATGGTGAAACCCCGACTCTACTAAAAATACAAAAATCAGCCAGGCGTAGTGGTGTGTGCCTGTAATTCCAGCTACTGGGGGGCTGAGGCAGGAGGATCGCTTGAACCTGGAAGGCCGAGGTTGCAGTGAGCCAAGACTGTGCCACTGCACTCCAGCCTGAGCAACAGAGCGAGACTCCATTACAAAAAAAAAAAAGGAACAACACTTTCAGAAGTTTATTTTGGCAGGGATTCCAGTAAAAAATCTGTCTCTAATATGTTTCACTGTATTTCTAACCATTGCTACTAAAAATACACCAACGATGGTGTGCTGGAGCCAACAAGTACCCACTTGTGAGAGCCAATTGTGCATCTCTTTCCAATTCTATCTAGTGATATCATGTTGTTAGCTTGAAACAGGAAATAGTGGGAGTATTTATGACGCATAAATTGGCAAATCCTACAACAGGGTGTTTTTCACCTCTTTTGAGAATTGGTCATTAAATTTTTGACCAACATACCACTGGATGGACACAACATTCTCTATGTTAGTGTCTACTGGTGATTTTTAAGCATGTAGGTTTTATTTCTCATCAGACCTTTCAAATTGGTAATAGACTGTCTATGAAAAATAGGAGTATTATCACTGTGGCTTTAATATAAAAGGGAAATGATAATCTACCAAACGCAAAATTATAGTTTGATCCTCCAAGGATTTAAAGACCTTCCAAAATATAATCTTTGGAAGGTACCGTCTATTTCTTGGAACAAATTAACTAAAAACTAAAAACATGTGTTGTTTGTTTTACATTGATATTGGCACTGTTGTAAATTCTTTTTGTTTTTTGCTCCACATAGTGTGTGTTGGCTGATCCAAAAATAAAAAAAGCAAGACAGGGGTGCCAAGGAAAATGGTACTATTTTTTTTTATCTGAGAGGATCAAATGAGCAACATAAATGCCTAAAAAATTACTAGAAAGACAATGCAAATACTTTATTAAACTGAGTAAAATAGCACCATATTTATAGATGATCCACATTATAGTCAATTTTAGCAGAACATATCCTTCATTACTATTAGAAATACAAAAACTTTTACAAAAATCTTGACTCAAGGCTCTTCTCAAATATAGTTGTCTCCAACATACTTTCCCATGGGATTAAGTGGTGTTACCTTTGTATTTAAAACATTGTATAATCTGTATAGATTTCCCTTTGAGCTCACAAAATTCAATTAAGAAAAAACATTAACAAAGGGGAAACCAAATATCCACCTATGCATACACATGCTTACATGAAAAAATAAAATCTAAAATACAAAAGGGGCAAAGAGCAATGGTTTATTTTCTCTTTAGGATATATCTTGAGAGGAGTAAGATATTTTTGTAATAATACCGTACATTTTAATGGTGTTTAAACACACACTATCTCCTTTGCATAATATATTAATGTGAAGTATAAAGATTTAGAAAATATACACAATTGATTATCGTATTAATACTGTATCATTTATATTTGGCAATAATTTATATTTCACATTTCTCCATTTATATTATTTGAAATGTAAATATTTTTGGTCCCTGTTTTCTATGGGTGTAACCAGTAAAAACTAGGGTTCTACTGCAGTGATTCTTTTTATGCCTTGATAGACCTTGTTTTATAGGGAGGAACTGAGTCAGGAGCAGTGAAATTGATAGAGCCTCCAGCTCTTTTTGCCAATCAAAACATTTAAGATGATTCTGTTATTTATGTACTTTAGCTTTGAGCCTTTGCTTAGCTATATTTAAACTTTAGGATGTGATGCTATTGGGCTATTTATTGAAAGCTGACATATGGCACAGTGAAACCTAAACAGAAAATATTTATGGCTTAAATTTCCAGGTTAGGTATAGAAAGGTGAGCAGCATTTTCTATTTTTTGTTGTTGTTGTTTCTAAGAAGTCAGAGTAAATAGTTTCCCCATCTTCTCATCTTTCAGTCAGAAATTTGAAATCCATTGTGGAAGGAATACAGAGGCATATTTTTGGAAGTCTAATTTAGGAACATGCACACAATGTATTTTCCAGCAGTGAGAAGGTTTTAGCACCCCAGAAAAAAAGCAAGCCTTATCCAGCTCAATGAATTGTCAAAATCAAAGTAGCTATATGCACAGGAGCCACTTTGGATTACCCATTCCTTTTATGGAAGAGCTTTAAGTGCACAATGGAAAGCTGCCTGGGAGGGAAAAGAGTATTTGCATTCTGATGTCTGGGAGGTAAAATAATACTTGCTGATGACTTTTTTCAGGTCAGGCTAAAGTAATGACATTTGTATCAGCATTAGAAGTAGAAGTACTTAGTAATATACCATGTTTGTGGATGCCTTAAAATGCAGGAATTTCATGGTTCAGAAGAAATGACCAGTAGTCTAACTTACTGAGGTTTGGAGAAGACATGATCTTCCAGGAACACATCATTTCAAAATACAAATAATTCTTGATTACCTATTGATATAAAGCTTTTCTTTTGAAAAAAAAAAAAAAAACCGACTTTCTCTCTCTTCCTCAACATTTATCTTCTCACTTTGGTTATGTTCAAAGTGTCCCTTCTCTCAAATACTCATTATTTAAAACTTTGAGACGAAAGAACTTCCATTTTGTAAGATATGGCTCAAAGTAAATGAAACAAAAAAGCTCTTATTTAAAGAATAAGCTATCTAGTTTCAATGAGTAAATGCAAGGCACCTAACATTGATAAGCCAGATAAAGAATTACCAAACAATTCAAAACTTAGATATATTAATTACTGAAAAAGAATATACTTCGTTCTTTTTACATAGCTACTTATCAAAAGAAGCTAAATGTGGCAAAAAGTCTGAATTTTAATAAATGATTTAGAGGAAAGTAACACTCTTTGGTTGAAAGTGCTACGTGTTAAATGTCTATTAGAAAAATAAATTCATTCTGTGGCATTGGTAGCTCATGATTTCTCATCAAATACAGTTGTTGATGAAAAGACTTAAACTCCGTATTTGAAGAGATTTATTCTGAGCCAAATATCAGTGACCATGGCCCGTGACACAGCCCTCAGGAGGTCCTGAGAACATGTGCCCAAGGTGGATGGGGCACAGCTTCGTTTTATATATTTTAGGAAGACATGAGACATCAATCAAATACATTTAAGAAATACATTTGTTTGGTTCAGAAAGGTGGGAAAACTCTAAGTGAAGGCTTCCAGGCTATTGGTAAATTTAAACATTTTCTGGTTGACAATTGGTTGAGTTTATCTGAAGACCTGGGATCAATAGAAAGGAAATGTTTAGGTTAGGATAAAGGATTGTGGAGACCACGTTTTACAGTGCAGAGGAAGCTCTCAGATAGCCAACTTCAGAGAGAGCAGGTTGTAAAATGTTTCTTATTGGACCTAAAAGGGTGCCTATCTCTTAGCTGATTATCTCCTGGATCTGGAAAGGAAGGAAGGAAAGCAAAGGGGAAAGGCGATTCTCTATAGAATGTGGATTTTTCCCACAAGAGACATTGCAGGATAATTTCAAGGTATGCAAGGAAATATATTTTGGGGTAAAACATTTTGTTTTTTACTCTTGTTATGCCAGAGTCAGATTGGAAAGTAAGTCAGTCATGATATACAAGGTTAAAGGTTAACTAAAACCCATCTGATAAGAATTTGTGGTTTGTAGGGCATGACTCCCCTGACCCCTTAGAAGGAAATTTGGGCAAGATAAAAAAAAAACCAGAGCTTAGTCCTCACAGTTTTAGAGGATCTCCTGTGGAACTTAAGGAGAGTCACATCATTTCTTGAAAAATTAATTGGAATTTTAATTTTAGTAAGATTGAATTTAGCCTTTGAAAGATTAAAATTGTATTTATGGATAGAAAAAAATAGTATCTGTAGATAAACAGGTATTTTAATTAAAAATAAATATTCTGTAAATATTTTATACTAAGGTAATTCTCCCTTGTCTTGTTTAGTTATTATATTTTTATACTTTATTATTACAAAATTAAGTTTTTCTTAGCACCAATGATTGTCAGCGTGGTTTTTTGTTTGTTTGTTTTTTCTTGACATGGAGTCTCGCTTTGCTGTCCAGTCTGGAATGCAGTGGCACAATCTCTGCTCACTGCAGCCTCTGCCTCTCAGGTTCAAGTGATTCTCCTGCCTCAGCCTCCCGAGTAGCTGGGGTTACAGGCGCCCACCACAATGCTGGGCTAATTTTTTGTATTTTTAGTAGAGACGGGGTTTCGCCATGTTGGGCAGGCTGGTCTCGAACTCCTGACCTCAGGTGATCTGCCCGCCTCGGCCTCCCAAGGTGCTGGGATTACAGGCATGAGCCACCAGGCCCAGCTGTCAGTGTGTTTTAATTTCCAAATGTAACAAAATATTTGGCTTAAAAATAGAGGTATTATTGACATATACATACCAATATTTTGGTGACCCTGAAACCCACATTGATTCATTTTCTGCTTTCGGTTAGTGGTACAAGCTTGTATTATATGAAAATAAAATTACCTTTACTTCTTAGAAAAGCTGGCATTCATACTTCAAGAAAAATATTTTCAGAAGATAAGTTAGGTATGGATGTAAATTGAAGGTTTTTTGTTGTATTTCATATCATCTTATTGGTATGAATATAAAGGATAGTAGAATGATTTTCCATCATGAAATTCATAATTTACTGGAAGCATGTTTTGATGCTGTTCATTTATTTAGTATTCACTAAAGTTTGCAGTATATGTACAGTACACTTTTTAAGAGTATGGATTCTGGAGCTAGACCGTCTGGGTTCAAAGTCTTACACTTTGACACTCTCTAACTGTGTGACCTTGGACAAGTTAACTAATCATTCTGTGCCTGTTTCTGTATCTTCTAAAATGGAGACATTCATCATGAGCTTTTCATATAAGATAGTTAACCTAAGTACCAGCAAAGTAGGTTGTAAACTCTTTAAGTGTAACATATACTTTGTGGCATACACACCTTTATATTCCGAGTACCTAGGGTAGTTTCTAGCAGACAGAGTTAACGAATAATACATATTTTTAATAAAACTAAATGTTCCAATGCATGTTGAAAATTGATTATAATTCCCTTGCAAGTTTTGGTTCTGATTGCACTGGAACCCCATGTAGCTCCAAGTTGGACAAAGTCAGCTGGTTTACATCTCAATGTAATAAATATTTGTTGAAAGAACTGTATGGCATGATGCCCCCTTTGTGTCTACTCACATTGACTTCAATAAGTGATATTCTTTCTTGATACAAAAATCTACAAAAGTTTATTCATATAAATTTCTATACTATGAAAATTAGCATTCCACAAATTCTATAAACCAAATCATGAGTTACAGGATTGATAGATTTAGGGATAGAGGGATAGATGAACAAGTGCATCAAATGAAATATAGTTCGAAAGCACTATTACCCATTCAATTCCAAGCACTAAACCATTAAGAAACTTCTTGCGGTTCTCTTCCTTTCCTTAGTCAGCATATGATAAATCTTTTTGTCCTAATGTCTCTTTCATGTTTAATTTCCCAGTGTTGGTTTACAAGTGTTACTCTTTCTCTTCACTATTGGAAATTGGATGATTAAATTTATTTTTAAACTTTTAATGTTAAAAGGCATTGGTACTTCAAAAGAGAAAATGTATCTCCTAGGTTTGTGATATGAGCAGTGATATAGCAATGATTTCAAATACAGCATGCTTTAAATTCCAAGCTGGTGGAAATGTACCTGTATATTAATTAGGTGTTTACTATTTATGGCCAGAAACAAAATATCATGAATTGTTGAGATGCATGTACATGGAGAGATTATATTCTTATTTCTACAGTACTAGTAACAATATAGTGAAAAATATACAAAACTACATTCCTTTATCTTTGTACATGGGAAGATTTGAGAGTGTATAGAGTTTCATCACTAAGATTGTATGATATTGGTCTCAATATATCTTCAAAGAATCAAATGGGTGTGAAGTATATTAAAATTTGGTAAAATGTTAGTGAGAGCCTGGGTAAATAACTCTAGACATTCAGGTTAATAATAAAAAGAACATTTTTGATAGTTTTAATGGTTGTACAACTGTCTGAATATACTGCAAACTAATGAATTTCATGTTTTAAAAGGTGGACAGTATGACACTTAAATTATATTTCAATAAAGCTGGTAAAATGCTCATACAAATAGTTTTTGAAATGTAAATACCATTGTGAACACTTTCAACTCAGTTATCATACAGTATATTTTCTTTAGTCTCCATCCAGTTCCAGCAAATGCTACTACATGCACACTGAGAAGTAACAAAAAGGTAAAACTCTGTTTTCATTATTCTCCCTAATTTGCTCCTCAAATCATTCTTATCCCCACAGCAACTCAGAGGAGTTGGAATGAATGTCCCATCCCCATTTCTTCTGCTTTAGTAAACTTGAATGTTTAACTAGTATGATCTGACCCTTGGTTTGAAATTTAGATGCCTTATGACTACAGAAACTATAGTAGGCACAATATTTTTCAAAAATGTTGAATACTGCAGGAAAAACAAATGCAATCCCAATAAAGTCCAGTTTTAAAATTAGCTTTACATGTAAGTGAGTTTTGTGGGAATGGGATCAGAATGGGTGATACTAAGTCATTAAAGTGCTTTGTTTTACAAAGAATGGATAAAGTTGTGCTGATTTTCAAGTCTGCATTGATTGACTTGCTCTTTTAATGCATTATAAATCACAGAGAAATAAAAATCATGGTGAAGAAAATTATTTAAAAATACCATAATAATAAGTATTGTCCAGTTATAATTATCTAATTCATTTTCTCTCTCTTTCTCTGTCTCTCAACTTACTTCTGCATTTATACTAAGAGAAGATACACAGAATAGACACTAACCTTGCAGACACAAACATTCTATAACATCCTAATTAATCTGGTAGGTGGGATTAATTTTTTTCTTTCCAAACCACAAGAAGCATTATATGTTAACATCATCAATTTTCAGATATATTCTATATACTTGTAATATAGTTGAACTTCATCATATGCATAATTTTTATTCTCTGAAAATATAGCACTTTCCCTAGAATTCTTAGCATTTTCCTCTCTAATAAGGTTTCTTGAAGTAGACACTATCAAAACTTTATGAAGTAAGAAAATTGTACTATTTACTACTGACTTCTTGTTTGAATTAAAGTCAAAAAATAAATTTCAAAATAAAGTCATTACATTTTTGTTGCTGGAAATTAGAAGCAGAAATATTTCCTCAGTACGAAAAAAGATCTCTACATATTTAGTTATTTAATAAATGTTCATTGAATGTAAAACACGTCTTTTATTCACAGTTCTTATTTCATGTATTCTAATGTTAATTATTAGTACTATTCATGTATTTACATATTTATCATATAAATTTAGAAAGTTATTAGAAAAAATTTTATTACATTTCAGGTGTTTCTCCAATTGCCTGTGTGCTTTATTGCACTAGCAGAAGACAATTTTTATTTTACTGGCATACGAATACATGCTTTACGTGTATCCTGAGGCACAGGGTCCCAAACTGCATTAGTTCAACAGACAGCAGCATGATAATAAACCCCAGGGTGTCAACCTATTAGTTTTAAAAATAGCTATAAAATTGACTTTAAATCTGATTTGTAATATTTTGCAGTCTTCATAGTAGTAATTCATAACTACCTATCTATACTTTCTTTAATTATTTAAAAATTCATAATACTATCATCAAGAATGTTCTGAAAATTGTCAAACCCAAGAGGTCAAAACTATCATTTTTTGGGTTACTATGTTTCAAATAAGGAAAATAAAGAGCAGCGGAAGAACCGACATTGAACTGAGTCTTTTTTTTTTTTTTTTAAGACAGTCTTGCTCTGTCACCCAGGCTGGAGTACAGTGGCACAATCTCGGCTCACTGCAGCCTCTGCCGCCCGGGTTCAAGCGATTCTCCTGCCTCAGCCTCCTGAGTAGCTGGGATTACAGGCACCCACCACCACACCCGGCTAATTTTTGTATTTTTAGTAGAGACGGCGTTTCACCATCTTGGCCAGGCTGGTCTTGAACTCCTGACCTCGTGATCCACTTGCCTCGGCCTCCCAAAGTGCTGGGATTGTAGGCGTGAGCCACTGCATCTGTCCAAGTCTGGTATTTTTTAAATGTCAGGTTGAGTGTTGTCATCTGCTCTTGACATGTCATTTAATTTTCAACATGGTTGTTCTCAGAACTGTTATCCCCATTTTTCAAATGAGGAAATGAAGGCTAAGAAATAATAATAAATGTGGCCAAGATCACAGAACTCATGCTTAGTAGAACCTCAGCCCATGCTCATGTATTCCTGATTCCATTTCACAATCATTTAACTGAAGATACTAACATTTCAACACCCAACATTGCCATGAGGATAATCTGAAGTGTGCCAAGAGCTTATATAAATGCCTCATTAATTGCTAAATCACTTACAAATTGTAAATTTGGCTTAAGTTTATCTCTTTATGTCTACTTGGGACCTAGAAGCAAAGCAGGGTAAATTTAGCAAGGAATGGACAAGATCAATGTTCTTGTCATTTCCCAATTGTGCAACCTTTTTAAAATCACTTTACTTATTTAAGTTGACCATGGAAATGATATATTTCCAACTCACAGTTTTGTCAGAATCCAACAAGATATTTTATGTGAAAATTTTTACTTCATTGGTCAAAGCCTGATAAATAAGAAATTTTTACAGGATTCCATGTTTAATAGAGTCATTGCTTCTTCACCAGAAGTTCAAGGAAGAACTTCTTGGAATTAAAAAGTAACCATAGTGTGTGCCGGGTACGGTGGCTCACGCCTGTAATCCCAGCACTTTGGGAGGCCCAGGCAGGCAGATCACCTGAGGTCGGGAGTTCGAGGCCAGCCTGACCAACATGGAGAAACCCTGCCTCTACTAAAAATACAAAATTAGCTGGGCATGGTGGCACATGCCTGTAATCCCAGCTACTCGGGAGGCTGAGGCAGGAGAATCACTTGAACCCGGGAGGCAGAGGTTGCGGTGAGCTGAGATCGTGCCATTGCACTCCAGCCTGGGCAACAAGAGTGAAACTCTGTCTCAAAAAAAAAAAAAAAAAAAAAAAAGAAAAGAAAAGAAAAGAAAAAGTAACCACAGTGTAATGTTTAATTTAGCCTTTGAAACTGAAAACACATGTGACAATCGTTGAAGGAAACCAGTTGCTCAAAAGAAGTTATAAAACTATAAATATATACTTTAGAGAAAAGGAGTTTGCTGTTCAATGAATATGGAATACCCATTATGTGGATATCTAGAGTACCTGGTACCCTAATGCCTGAACTTCCTATTCCAGGAAAGGCAGAGTGGAATTCTTAAAATACTCTTCACTTTAACTTCTCCTAAAGGAAAGTAGACATGAAGAGCAAGTAGGCATACTGGGATATGTGGCCATGAGATGTCCTGGATAATGTGCCTGAATAAAATTTGAACTGAGTTCCTTTATTTTACTTTCCTTTATACTGCTACTTGATACATAGTAGTTTACAGGTTGCAGGATTATTTCATTACTATGTTTCTCTTAGAAAAAGAGCAATTTAAGAACCATCCAATGGCATTCGATTTATAATTGTATTAATAAACAGAAAGTCACTATTGAAACAAACCAGACACTGGGCAAAGTTGCCTGTAGGAGAAACCTGGAATGAAAGAGAGACTATGAATCTTCTTTTAAAGCTCATATATGCTACTTGAAATACTAGCAAATATCATATTTCGTTGCTATATATATTCATATGACATGTGTTTGGGGCTTTACATAAGAGCCATATTAGATTTATTTACTTATTTTTTTTTAACTTTTAAATTCAGGGTACATGTGCAGGTTTGTAACATAGGTAAACTTATGTCATAGGGGTTTGTTGTACAGATTATTTCGTCACCCAGATAGTAAGCCTAGTAGCCATTTTTCCTGATCTTCTCCCTCCTCCCACCCTTCACCATCTGATAGGCCCCAGTGTGTGCTGTCCCCTCTATGTGTCAGTGTGTTCTCATCATTTAGCTCCCAATTATAAGTCAGACCATGCAGTATTTGGTTTTCTGTTCGTTTGTTAGTTTGCTAAGGATAATGACCTCCAGTTCCCTCCATGTCCCTGCAAAGGACATGACCTTTTTTATGACTGCATAGTATTCCATGGTATATATGTACCACATTTTCTTTACCCAGTTTATCATTGATGGGCATTTAGGTTGATTTCATGTCTTTGCTATTGTAGTGAACATATGTGTACACATGTCTTTATAATAGAATGATTTATATTCCTTTTGGTATATACTTAGTAATGGGATTTCTGTGTCGAATGGTATTTCTGTCTTTAGGTCTTTGAGGAATCACCACACTGTCTGCTGCAATGGTTGAATTAATTTACACTCCCACCAACAGTATATAAGAATTCCTTTTTCTCCACAACCTCATCAGCATCTGTTATTTTTTGACTTTTTAAAAATAGGCACTCTGGTGTGAGATGGTATTTCATTGTGGTTTGGATTGGCATTTCTCTAATGATCAGTGATTTTGATCATTTTTTTCATGATGGTTGGCTGCATGTATGTCTTCTTTTGAAAAGTATCTGTTCATGTCCTTTGCTCACTTTTTAATAAAATTGTTTGTGTGGTTTTTTTTGTAAATTTAAGTTCCTTATACATGCTGTATATTAGACCTTTGTTGGATACATAGTTGGCAAGAATTTTCTCCCATTCTGTAGGTTGTCTGTTAACTCTTTGATAGTTTCTTTTGCTGTGTAAAAGCTCTTTCGTTTCCTTAGATCCCAGTTGTCATTTTTTGCTTTTGTTGCAATTACTTTTGACATCTTTGTCATGCAATCTTTGCCCATGTCTATGTCCTGAATGGTATTGCCTAGGTTGTCTTCCGAGATTCTTATAGTTTTGGACTTTACATTTAAGTCTTTTACCCAACTAGAGTTAATTTTTTACACTTATTTAAAATTATATTTATGTATTTAGACTTAACTTTTAAAATTTACATCTTATTCTAAATTTTAATCAGCTTAAAATCTGTTTTTTACTTAAAAAGAAATAGCACATACACACACATGCAGGAATTTAATATTCTTCACTTATATGTAAAAAACATTATTTGATGTTTTCCGTTTCAAGATATAACAATTTATTTTCACTTTTATGTGCATTTATATTATTATATAGGTTTTTAATTTGTGACCTAACTCTTCATTCTGGACAAAGATAACTAGTTGCGTCTTTAGATGTAAAGTTACACTCAAGTGCAATAAAGCGAGTCCTCAAAATGACAAAACAAACAAACAAAAAACAACAAAGCAGACACTGAAGTGAGGAGAAGGGAAACGTAATAGCCTATTATGCAAAAATAACTTCATTTAAGAAATCAACCAAGATTAGAGAAAAATATGAGTATCCACATGGGGATTATATGGGTATATTGGCATCTATAATTTTAAAGATGGTTTATGAATCATTGTTTTGAATCAGATTGGAGGACCAATCTCTACTCTTTATAATGAGGCTTCTTTCTGTCCTAGCTAAGTGGGAGCTATAATTGATAGTGTATATGGCCACGAAGTGGCACAGAATGCTGTCATAGGAGTTTTCTACGTAATGTGATTAAAGCTAACATGCAGTACATCAAAAACACTGTAGTCCGTCTGACAGTCTTTAGCAGTGGGCATCTAATATTGAAGTTTGATTTACTTCAACATTTGAAAACTCTGTTACCTTAATATCTTTCAAGGACTTCAAATACTTTTTGATTTATTCCAAGCTTTCATTTTATTATTGAACTGGAACTAAAACTTCCAAAATGCAAATGAAATAAATGAAATAAAGATCATTAATGGTGCTTAATTCAGTTATCAGAATATCAGCATAGTATGAGTTTTGCAAATTGGTTTCTCAATTCTGAATTTACATTCTGTTTGCCATGTGTTCAACTTGAACTTACACAGGATGACTCATTTTTATAAACTTATACCATTCATATAACTTGAGGAAAAGATTTATTGCTTATCTTTATAGACAAGTAACTTGAGTATACAGTCACTCTTTAGATAATAGACATTTTACTCATTATGTTGTGGATTCAATTCTGAATCCAGTTATTTTGCTATTAGAATTGAAATTATTCATTTTAATCACGATGATAATAGATTCACAGCCACGTATAATAAAATTGCAGTCTACTTGATTTGCCTTTAATTTCTTCCCTTTCTATGTTGCTCTTCTCACTTTATTGTCCATCTTGGTTACTCAAGTCTTGGGACAAAACCTCCCAGTGATCTCTCCTCACTTCTCTCAGGCCTATTTTAACTCAGTCCTCTAGAGCCTCATGGTTGATGGAGACAGTCACATGGCTGGATATATTAAAATTATCTAAGATATCTACCTTTCTGTTTTTATTAGTGCAACTAATACCTAAAAGAGGAAGGGCTGGTGGTGCAAGATGACATAGTTTCTGGAAACTATTTCTGTGCAGACTCCAAAAAGGGGAAGGATGGAAGGGGATTGAGGAGTGAGAAATTACCTGTTGGATACAATGTTCACTATTTAGCTTGTGGGCTCACTAGAAGCCAAAACCTCACCATAATTTTCAGCATATCCATGTAACAAACCTGCACATGTACCTTCTGAATCTAAAATAAAATCGAATAACAAAAAACCAATTTTTGGACTATATTTCATAAACCTACCAATATGGTCCATAAGAAGTTGCAAATGCTATGAATAAAATCAATTATATATATGTAAAAACGTATCTGCTTGTATGTATTTGTTTAATCCTCATAGTATGTGTAATTCATTTCTATATACAAGTACATGTCATGGTATTTACACAATACATATGGTCAAATAGTTATGTGCTCATAAAATATTATTAAAAATTTTGGATGAAGAAAGAGATATTGTACTTAGTCATTGATATTGACATTGTATTTCATAATTCCAGTGCAGTAATGCATGTGTGTTTATGTTGATAAATGCTGATCAGAATTCAGATTTACAGTAAAAAAACAGAACCGAATAAATATTCAGATTCAAAATATTGATATTATTTCAATGCTGTATTTTTCTGTGATTTATATTCTCAGAAATTGTGGTGGGAAATTGAATTTGATATTGTGGTTCAAGGTGCATAGATTCCTCTCTTGTCAATGGTTTACACTGGTCATTAACAGTGGCAGGTTGTTGCAGAGGTGAGGAAATTATATGTTCCCAAGTGTTTCTAAAATATAAAAACCCAAAGAGTTGAATTAGGTTTTGCATCTAAGTTAAACTGAAGCTTGTGATATGATGCTTCCACAGAGCTATTAAAAGTTATTAAAATCCTGATTCTGTGTGTCTAATAAATTTTGGCTGTATGATATGAATGCATTAATTTTGTGCTTAAAAGCAAAAGGGCTGATAAAAAGTTCCAGTTAATATATAAACATAGTAGAAATTTGATACATACTTCTTGATGATACATATTGTGTGACAGAAAACCTAACTATAATAATGATACCAACTCATATTGTACAGGACTTTTTCATATATTACATTATTTGATCCTCACAATCCCATGAGCTAGGAAAGGCAGACTTTATGAATTTCTATTTAAAGATGAGAAAATGGAAATTCAAGGAGGTATTTGAGTTTTCTAGGATGCAGACATAGGTCTAGTAATATTTTTCAGTATACCATATTGCTTCTGAGTACTCAGAATCTCATTTTCAATTGTAACAGTTGTAAAAGGCCTGTATATGCTTACAATATGTGTGCAGAGTGTAGATATGAAGCCCCAATGGTGAGAACAACCTTACATATATCAAATGGATTCTAAACCAAAGAAATTCCAGCAACTAAATCTCCTACCTTGGTTCCTTATATTTTTAACATGTAAAAATTCACATAAATATCACATTTGGAAAATAATGTAGATTTATATCATACCTGCATAGAAGAAAGTATGGCACACTGATTTTTATGATGGGGAACAAAGCCGGGCTTTTGATCCTAGAATTACAGTCCTGTAATTTAGACCTCCTTAATATAATAGTTTTATGATAACTCTGCAAGCCTAGGCATCACTGCTACTTAATCTTTCTGCTTACCTATTTCACAGGTATTTAATGCCCATTTAGTCATCATTTGAAAAACTTATATATATATTAACCAAAGCTAAATTTATCTACTCTGCTTATATATGCAGCTTGACATGCACAACTAATTTAATATGTAGGTGCTTTCCTTGATCCAATTAGGTTCTTCTTTTTTATTCATAGGTATAGATTGTTGCAAGCACTAAAATTATACCCATAAAAAAAAGTTTGCATCTAAAAACAGGGATTAGCTAATTGCTTGGCACTTTGAGAAAATTCCATCCACAATCTGATGAACTCCCAATTTAAAAATACAGGAAAATGATTTAAAATAAACATTTCTGCTTTTATTCTGTTCTGTGTGTCATAAATGTAACATAAAATAATTCCATAGGAAACGGGATGGTTTCTCTAAGTTTCAGATGACTTTATAAGTAATTTTGTTTTATTTTGTTTCTTTCTTTGATTCCTGGGGAATTAATTTTTTTGCAAACTTTTATTTTAGGTTCATGGGTACAGGTGCAGGTTTGTTATAAAGGCAAATTGCATGTTACAGGAGTTTGCTATATGAATTGTTTTGTCACTCAGGTAATAAGCATAGTACCTGACAGACAGATTTTCAATCCTCAGCCTCTGCACACCCTCCACCCTGAAGTAGACCCTGGGGTGTCTGTTCTTCTCTTCTTTGTGTCCATGTGTATTCAATGATTAGCTTCTACTTATAACATGCAGTATTTGGTTTTCTGTTCCTGCATAAGTTCACTTAGGATAATGACCTCCAGCTCCATTTATGTTGCTTCAAAGGACATGATCTCATTCTCTCTTATGGCTACATAGTATTCCATGGTGAATGTGTACAACATTTTCTTTACCTAGTTTAACATTGATGGGCATTTAGGTTGGTTCCATGCCTTTGCTACTGTGAATGGTGCTATGATGAACATACATGTGCATGAGTCCTTATGGTAGAACAATTTCTATTCGTTTGCGTATATACCCAATCATGAGATTGCTGGGTTAAATGGTAATTTTGTATTAAGTTCTTTGAGAAATCGCCAAACCACTTTCCAAAATTGCTGAATTAATTTGCATTCCCACCAGCAGTGTAAAAGTATTGCCTTTTCTCCACAACCTTGCCAGCATTTATTATTTTTTGACTTATTAATAATAGCCATTCTTACTGGCATGCAATAGTATCTCATTGTAGTTTTCATTTGCATTTCTCTAATAATTAGTGATACTGAACATTTTTTCATATGCTTGTTGGCCACATGTATGTACACTTTTGCAAAGTATATGTTCATGTCCTTTGCCTACTTTTTAATGGGATTGTTTGATTTTTGCTCATTAATTTGTTTAAGTACTTTGTAGATTCTGGATATAAGACCTTTGTCAGATGCATACTTTGAAAATATTTTCTCCCATACTGTAGGTTGTCTGTTTACTCTGTTGATAGTTTCTTTTTGCTGTGTAGGAGTTCTTGAGTTTAATTAGTTCTCATGTGTCAACTTTTGATTTATTTCATTTCCTGTTGGCGAATTGTAATAAAATCTTTGCCAGAGCCTATGTGCAGAATTGTATTGCCTCAATTGTCTTCCAGAGTTTTCATATGTTAGGTGTTACATTTAAGTCTTTAATTCATCTTAAGTAGATTTTTATGTATGGTGAGAGGAATGGGTCCAGTTCCGGCACCATTTATTGAATAGGGAGTCCTTTCTCCATTGCTTGTTTTTGTCAATTTCTGGAAGATCAAGTTATTGTAGGTGTGTTGCGTTATTTGGGGGCTCTGTCTTCTGTTCCATTGGTCAGTGAGTCTTTTTTGATGCCAGTACCATGATGTTTTAGTTACTGTAGCCATATAGTATAGTTTGAGGTTGAGTAATGTGATGCCTCCAACTTTGTTCTTTTTACTTAGGATTGCCTTGGCTATTTGGGTTGATTTTTTTGTTTGTTTGTTTGTTTTTTAGTTTCATATAAATTTAAAGATAGCATTTTCTAATTTGCTGAAGAATGTCATTGGTAGTTTGATAATAATAGCACTGAATCTGTAAATTGCTTTGGGCAGTATGGCCATTTAACAATATTGATCCTTCTTATCCATGAGCATGGAATGTTTTTGCATTTGTTTGTGTCATCTCTGATTTCTTTGAGCAGTGTTTTGTAATTCTCATAGTAGAGACATTTCATTTCTCTGGTTAGTTCTATTCCTAGGTATTTCATTCTTTTTATGCCTATTATAAATAGGATTGTGTTCTTGATATGGCTCTCGGTTTGGATGTTGTTGGTGTATAGAAATACTACTGACTTTTGTACATGATTTTTGTATTATGAAACTTTGCTGAAGTTGTTTATCAGATCTAGGAGCTTTGAGGCAAAGACTATGGGGCTTCCTAGGTATAGAATGATATCACCTACAAACAGAGATAGTTTGACTTCCTCTCTTTTTATTAAGATGCCTTTTATCTTTTATTTATTTCTATTGTCTGATTTTTATTCCTAGGACTTCCAGTACTATGTTCAATAGGAGTATTAGAGTGGTCATCTTTGTCTTGTTTCTGTTCTGAAGAGGAATGCTTCTAGCTTTTGCTCATTCAATATGATGTTGGCTGTGGGAATGTCATAGATAGCTCTTACTATTTTGAGGTATGCTCCTTCAGAGCCTAGTTTGTTCAGGATTTTTAACATGAAAGGATATGAACAGACACTTCTCAAAAGAAGACATTTATGCAGCCAACAAGCATATGAAGAAGAGCTCATCATCACTGGTCATTAGAGAAATGCAAATCAAAACCACAATGAGATACCATCTCATGCCAGTTAGAATGGCGATCATTAAAAAGTCAGAAAACAACAGATGCTGGAGAGGATGCGGAGAAATAGGAATGCTTTTATACTATTGGTGGGAGTGTAAATTAGTTCAACCGTTGTGGAAGACAGTGTGGCGATTCCTCAAGGATCTAGAGCCAGAAATAACATTTAACTCAGCAATCCCATTACTGAGTATATAACCAAGGGATTATAAATCATTCTACTAAAAAGACACATGCACACTTATGTTTGTTGCAGCACTGTTCACAATAGCAAACACTTGGAACCAACCCAAATGCCCATCAATGATACACTGAATAAAATGTGGCACATATACGCCATGGAATACTATGCAGCCATAAGAAAGGATGAGTTCATGTCCTTTGCAGGGACGTGGATGAAGCTGGAAACCATCATTCTCAGCAAACTAACACAAGAACAGAAAACCAAACACCGCATGTTCTCACTCATAAGTGGGAGTTGAACAATGAGAACACATGGACACAGGGAGGGGAACATCACACACCAGGCCTGTCGGGGGGTGGGGGGCTAGGGGAGGGATAGCATTAGGAGAAATACCTAATGTAGATGATGGGTTGATTGGTGCAGCAAACTACCATGGCACGTTTATACCTATGTAACAAACCTGCACATTCTGCATATGTATCCCAGAACTTAAAGTATTAAAAAAAAAAAGCTATGCATTCAAAATTTTTAAAAAAATTCTTAAAGTGAGTTTTTAGCTCTATCTGATCAGCTTGGTTCTTTCTTAAAACAGACATTTCATGTATCTCCTGGGTTATTTTATTGTATTCCTTAGATTTCTTGGATTGCATTTCAAGTTTCTCCTGAATCTTGATGGTCTTCATTTATATCCACACTCTGAATTCTATTTCTGTCATTTTAGCCATATCAGCCTGGTTAAGAACCATTTCTGGGGAACTAGAGCAGTTATTTGGATGTGAGAAAACACTCTGGTTTTCGAGTTGCCATGGTTCTCACACTAGTTCTTTCTCATCTGTGTTGGCTGTTTCTTCTATCTTTGGAATTGCTATCCTTTGGATGAGAATTTACTTGTTTCTTCTTCGATGGCTTTGGGGGTTTGATTGTGATATAAGGTTGATTCAGTTGACTGGCTTTGTTTCTGGACGATTTTAGGGCACCAAGGCTCAGCTCAGCACTCTTGGGCTGTGTGCTCTAATTCTGGGAGGCAGGTATTGGGCCCCCAGCTTTGTTTTCTGGCCTCTGCAAATTAGGAATCTGCTGTGCTGGAGGGACTGAAACATTCCCTGTCTGCAGCCACAACACTCTGATGGGTTGTACTGGCTAAAACACTTTCTTGGGGTGGTGACAGCAGAATTCATGCTTGCTCATGTGTACCAGTAGCCATGGCAGCACAGCAGGGTGCACGTGTATTTGCTGGGGTTGGGTACTGGTAGGAGTGGGACATTGGTGTTCTTGGGTGAACTTGTGTAGGTGGTGTGGTGGGGGTGGGGGACTGGCAGGGGTAGGGTTGCCTGTGTCCATGCTTGCACTTGTACCAGCAGTGATGGCAGCATGGGTGGGTCACTGGTGGTTTCAAGGATGCTGCCCTCCATGCACACATTTGCATTGGCAGCAGTGATGGCCTCATTTTAGTTATAAACTTTTTTAAGGACATATTAACGTACATTTTATTTTTTGTTCTTCTAAAAATCTAACTTTATAGTTTACATACAATACAATGCACCAATTTTGATTGTACAGTTCAACATGTTCAGAAAAATGTATACACCCATGTAACTACCACCACAATCGAGGTATGGAACATTTCTATCAAATCCACACAAATTAAAAATAAATAAATAAATAAATAAATAAATAAATAAATAAATAGTTTTGTCATGTTACTATGTGGTCAGTCTTTCCTCTTCCCTGTTCCAGGCAACTACTACTTTGTTTTCTGCCATGACATGATAGGTAAGTTTGCTTATTCTAGAATTTCATTTAAATGAAATCACAAGGTAATTATAGATTTATGATTTTATTATAATTGAGAAACTTATTAGTTCTAAATTGGACAGTGCAATAAATTTTTTGTTGTTTTTTGTTTTTCTCCCCGGGGGAGGCAGTTTAATGAGCTCGGGGCCAATACAAAAGATCAAATTTCTCTCCATGGGGAAATGCAGGAACCCACAGAACACTATGCTTGCTGGGAAAGCGGGTAGCTTCTCATTTAGTTGCAGGAGGAGGAGATAGCTCCCAGGGCTTTCAGAGGAAAGCATGGCCTTCAGCATCAGGGACATTGGGGGTGCACTCCAGGATCTGAGGGGTAAACTCCAGGAGGCTGAGGGTGGACCCAAGGAGCTGCAGGATGGATTCCAGAAGCTTACAGGTGGTCTCTGGGAGGCTGGGCATTGAACCCCATTGCCTGAGGGTGGATCCCTGGGGCTCGTGGGTATGCTCCTGGGGCCTGGGGGTAAACTACAGGGGCTGATGGATGCACACCATCCATGTTGTTACAAATGACTGGATGATCTCATTCTTTTTTTATGGCTGAATAGTACCCCATTGTGGATAAGTGTCACATTTTCCTTATTCATTCATCCCTTGATGGATACTTAGGTTGCTTCTAAATCTTGGCTATTGTGAATAGTGTTGCAACAAACATGGGAGTGCGGATATCACTTTGTTATACTGCGGATATCACTTTGATATACTTATATATCCCTTTTGGATATATACCCAACAGTAAGATTGCTGGATTGTATGGTAACTTTATTTTTAGTTTTTTGATGAACCTCCAAACTTTTCTTCATAGTAGTTGTACTAATTTACATTCCCACCAACAATGTACAAAGGTTTTCTTTTCTCCACATCCTTACCAGCATTTGTTATTGCCTGACTTTTGGATAAAACCCACTTAAACTGGGGTGATGTCTCATTGTAGTTTTGATTTAAATTTCTCTGAGGATCAATGATGTTGAGCACTTTTTATATGCCTGTTTGCCATTTCATGTTTTCTATTCAGAAATGTCTATTCAAATCTTTTGCCCATTTTTAATTGGATTGTTAGATTTTTTTTCCTCTAGAGTTGTTTGAGCTCCTTATATATTCTGATTATGAATCTCTTGTCAGATGGATAGTTTCCAAATAGTTTCTCCCTTTCTCTGGGCTGTCTCCTCACTTAGTTGATAATATATTTTGCTGTGCAGAAGCTTTTTAACTTGATGTGATTCCATTTGTCCATTTTGCTTTGGTTGCCTGTGCTTCTGGGATATGACTGAAGAAATTTTTGCCCAAAACAATGTCTTAGAGAGTTTCTCCAAAGTTTTCTTGTAGTACTTTCATAGTCTTAGATTTAAGTCTTTTTATTGATTTTGATTTGATATTTTTGTAAGGTGAGAGACAGAGATCAAGTTTCATTCTTCTGACTACGAATATCCAGTTTTTCCAGCATCATCCATTGAAGAAACTGACTTTTCTCTAGTGTATGTTCTTGGTACCTTTGTCAAAAATGAATTCACTGCAGGTGTATGGATTTGTTTCTGAGTTGTCTGTGCTGTTCCATTGATCTGTGTGTCTTTTTATGCTGGTACCATGCTGTTTTGGTTATTATAGCTTCATAGTATAATTTGAAGTCAAGTAATATGATTCCTGTAGTGTTGTTCCTTGTGATCAGGATGGGTTTGGCTATTATGAGTCACTTGTGATTCCATATACCTTTTAGAATTATTTTTTTTTCCATTTGTGTGAAAAATGTCATTGGTATTTTGCATTGAATCTGTAAATTCCTTTGGGTAGCATGGACATTTTAACAATATTGGCTCTTGTGATTGATGAGCATGGAATATCTTGAATTTTTGTGTCCTCTTTGTTTCATCTGAGCTTCATGGTATTAATTATAAAGATCCTTCACTTCTTTGGATAAGTTAATTCCTAGGTATTTCATTTTATTTGTAGCCCTTGTAAATGGGATTACTTTTTTATTTCTTTTTCAAGTTGTTCACTGTTCGCATATAGAAATACTTCTGATTTTTTTGTCTTAATTTTGTATCCTGCAACTATACTGAATTTATTTATCAGTTCTAATTGTTATTCGGTGGCGTCTTTCGGTTTTTCCAACAGTAAGATCGTTATCAACTGCAAAGAAAAATAATTTCACTTCTTCCTTTAAATTTGGATGCCTTGCTGTGAGCAGTGGCTCAGGCCTGTAATCCCAGCACTTTGGGAGGCCAAGGTGAGCAGATAACTTGAGGTCAAGAGTTCAAGACCAGCCTGACCAACAGGGTGAAACCCCTTCTCTACTAAAAACACAAAAATTAGCTGGGCATGGTGGTGCATGCCTGTAATTCCAGCTACTTGGGAGGCTGAGGCACAAGAATCTCTTGAACCTGGGAGATGGAGGTTGCAGTGAGCCAGGCTCTTGCCACTGCACTCTAGCCTGGGTGACAGAGTGAGCTCTGTCTAAATAAATAAACAGATAATTAAAAGTAAAAATAAATTTGGATGTCCTTTATTTCCTTCTCTTTTCTGATTGCTCTAGCTAACACTTCTCATGCTATGTTGAATAATAGTGGTGAAAGTGGGCATCCTTGTCATGTTCCAAATATAAGAAGTAAGGCTTTCAGTTTTTCCCCATTAACTATAATATTAGACTTAGGTCTGTCATTTATTGCTATTATTATGTTGAGATACGTTCCTTCTATACCTAGTTTTTGAGGGTTTTTATCAGGAAGAGGTGTTTAATTTTATCAAATGCTTTTTAGCATCAATTGAGATAACCATATGGTTTTTGTCCTTAATTCTGTCGATATGACACATCACATTGATTTGTGTATGTGGAGTCATCTTTGCATCCTTGTGATAAATCCCACTTGGTTATGATGAATGCTCTATTTAATATATTGTCTAATTCAGTTTGTAGTATTTTATTTAAGATTTTTGCATCAATATTCAGGAGAGATATTGGCCTGTAGTTTCCTTTTTTTGATACATGTTTGTCTGGCATCTTCTTTTGGTATCAGGGTAATACCGGCCATGTTGAATGAGTTTGGCAACAGTCCCTCTTCCTCTATTTTTTGAAAAGTTTGAGTAGAATTGGTACTAGCTCTTCTTTAAATGTCTGGTAGAATTCAGCAGTGAAACCAGCAGGTTTCAGGCTTTTCTTTCCTGGGAGACTTTTTATTTAGAGCTTCGATCTTGTTACTTGTTATTGGTCTGTTCAGGTTTGGGATTTCTTCATGATTCCATGTTGGTAGGTTGTATGTGTCTAGGAATTTACCTATTCTTCTAGGTTTTCCAATTTAAAGGCATGTAGTTGCTCACAGTAACCACTGATGATTCTTTGAATTTGTGGTATCCGTTGTAATGTCTCCTTTTTCATCTCTGATTTTATTTATTTTTGTCTTTCCTTTTCTTAGTCGGGCTACAGATTAGTAAATTTTGATTATATTTTCAAAGAAACCAACTTTTCATTTCATTGATCTTCTATGTTGTTTTCCTCATTTCAAGTTCATTTAATTGTTCTGATCTTTATTAATTTCTTTTCTTCTATAATAAGTTTGTATTGAGTTTGTTCTTGCTTTTCTAGTTCTCTAAGATGCATCACTGAGTTATTTATTTGAAGAGTTTTTGTTTGTTTGTTTTTATGTAGGCATTTACAGCTATCAATCTCCCCCTTAGTACTGCTTTTGCTGTATTCCAAAGATTTTGGTATATTGTGTTTCCATTTTCAGTTGTTTTGAGAAATTTTTAAATTTTCTTCTTAATTTCTTTATTGACCCACTGACTCACTGATCATTTAGGAACATATTGTTTAGTTTCCATGTGTTTTTATAGCTTCCACAATTCCTCTGGTTATTGATTTGTAGTTTTATTTCATTATGGTCAGAGAAGATTCTTGATAGTACTATTATTATTATTAAGATGGAGTCTCACTCTGTTGCCCAGGCTGGAGTGCAGTTGTGTGATCTCGGCTTACTGCAACCTCTGCTTTCCAGGTTCAAGTGATTTTCCAGCCTCCGTCTCCCAAGTAGCTGGGATTACATATGTGCACCACCACGCCTGGCTGATTTTTGTATTTTTAGTAGAGACGGGGTTTTACCATGTTGGCCAGGCTGGTCTTGAACTCCTGACCTCAAGTGATCTGCTTGCCTCGGCCTCCCAAAGTGCTGTGATTACAGGTGTGAGCCACCATGCCCAGCTAGATTCTTGATATTGTTTCAATTTTTTGAATGTTTTAAGACTAGTTTTGTGACTTATTATATGGTCTGTCATTGAGAATGATCCATGTGCAGGGGAGAAAAAATGTGCATTCTGTAGCTGTTTGATGAAATGTTCTGTAAATATTAGTTCCATTTGTTCTACTATGCAGATTAAATCTGAAGTTTCTTTGTTGATTTTCTGTGTGGAATATCTGTCCAATCCTGAAAGCGGGGTGAAGTCTCTAACTATTATTGTATTAGGGTATATCACTCTCTTCAGCTCTAATAATACTTGTTTTACATGTCTTGGTGTGCCAGTGTTGGGTGCATATATGTTTACAAATGTTAAATCTTCTTGTGGAATTGACCCCTTTATCATTGTATAATGACCATTATTGTGTTTTATACTTTTCGTCTTTAAATCTGTTTTGTCTAATGTCACTATACATACTCCTGCTCTTTTTTGGTTTATATTGGCATGGAATATCTTTTTCCATCTTTTTTTTTTAGTGTGTGTTTATCTTTATAGGTGAAATGTGTTTCTTGTAGGCAACAGGTCATTGGGTCTTCTTTTGTTTAATCAGTTCAACCACTCTGTCTTTTGATTAGAGAGTTTATTTTATTTACATTCAATATTATTATTGATAAGCAGGTACATACTCCTTCCATTTTGTTATTTATTTTCAATTATTTTGCAGTCTTTTTTTCTGCCTTACTGTCTTCCTTTTAGTGAAGGTGATTTTCTCTGGTGGTATTCTTTAACTTCTTGCTTTTTAGTTTTTGGGTATCCATTGTATGATTTTTGCTTTGAGATTACCATGAGGCTTGCAACTATTATCTTAAAACTGATATTATTTTTTTGAGACAAAGTCTCGCTCTGTCACCCAGGCTGGAGTGCAGTGGCACGATTTTGACTCACTACAACCTCCACCTCCTGGGTTCAAGTGATTATCTTGCCTCAGCCCCGCAAGTAGCTGGGATTACAGACATGCACTACCATGCCCATCCAATTTTTGTATTTTTAGTAGAGACAGGGTTTTGTCACGTTGGCCAGGCTGATCTCAAACTCCTGACCTCAGGTGATCTGCCTGCCTCGGCCTCCCAAAGCGCTAGCCAGGATTACAGTCTTGAGCCACAGCAACCAACCTGATTTTTTAAATGGATAACAATAACACTGATTGCATAAACAAACATGCAAAAAAAAACTAATAAAAACTCTACACTTTAACTTCATCCCCCCATTATTTTAACTTTTTATTGTTTTTCTTTATGTCTTATTTTGCTGTGTCTTGCAAAAATGTTGGAGTTATTATTTTTGATTGGTTCATAATTTATTCTTTCTATTTCGAGTAAGAGTAGTTTACACACCACCATTACAGTGTTATACTAGTCTGTGGTTTTCTCTATACTTACTATTAATATTCCCCATGAGTTTTGTATCTTCAAGTGATTTCTTCTTGCTCATTGTCATCCTTTTCTTTTAGATTGGAGATTTCCCTTTAGTATTTCTTATAGGACATGAAATCCCTCAGGTTTTGGTTGTGTGGGAAGGGCTTTATTTCTCCTTCATGCTTACAGAATATTTTCACAAGATATACTATTCTGGAATAAAAATTTTATTTCCTTCAGCAGTCTAAATATGTCATGCCACTCTCTCTTGTCCTGTAAGGTTTCTACTGAAAAGTTTGATGCAAGATGTATTGGAGCTTCAATGTATGTTATTTGTTTCTTTTCTCTTGCTGCTTTTAGGATCCTTTCTTTATCCTTAACCTTTTGGAGTTTGATTATTAAATGCCTTGAGGTGATCTCCTTCAGGTTAAATCTGCTTGGTATTCTGTAACTTTCTTGTACTTGAGTGTTTATATCTTTCTCTAGGTTTGGAAAGTTTTCTAATATTATCCATTTGAATATACTTTCTACCCCTGTTTCTTTCTCTACCTCCTCTTTAAGGCCAGTAACTCTTTTTTGTTGTTGTTTTTGAGATGGAGTCTTGCTCTGTTGCCCAGGCTGGAGTGCAGTGGTGTGATCTCAGCTCACTGCAACCTCTGCCTCCTGGGTTCAAGTAATTTTCCTGCCTCAGCCTCCTGAGTAGCTGGGACTAGAGGCACGCGCCACCACACGCAGCTAATTTTTTTTTTTTGTATTTTTAGTAAAGATGGGGTTTCACCATGTTGGCCAGAGTGGTCTCAAACTCCTGACCTCGTGATCTGCCAACCTTGGCCTCCCAAAGTGCTGGGATTACAGGCATGAGCCACTGCACCCGGCAAGGCCAGTAACTCTTATATGTGCCCTTTTTAGGCTATTTCCTAGATCTTGTAGGCATGCTTCATAGTTTTTTATTCTTTTTTCTTTTGTCTCCTCTGACTGTGTATTTTTAAATAACCTGTCTTCAAGCTCACTAATTCTTTTGTCTGCTTGATCACGTGTGCTATTAAGAGAATCTGATGCATTATTCAGCATGTCAGTTGCATCTTTCCACTCTAGAATTGTTGGATTTATCTGATAAAATTCTGAATTCCTTCTCTGTGTTATCTTGAATTTCTTTGATTTTCCTCAAAACAGTTTTTTGAATTATCTCTCTGAAACATCATATATCTCTCTTTCTCCAGGATTGGTCCCTGGTGCCTCATTTAGTTCATATGGTGATGTCACATTTTCCTGGATGGTATTGATATTTGTAAGTGTTCATCAGTGTCTGGGCATTAAAGAGAGTTAGATATTTATTGTAGTTTTCAGTGTCTGGGCTTGTTTTTCCCTATCCTTATAGGGAAGACTTTCTAGGAATTTGAAGGGACCTGGGCTCCAAGTCTAATAATGCTGTGGTTCTTGCAGACTCATAGAGGTACCTCTTTGGTAGTCTTGGATAATATCTGGAAGAATTCTTGGAATCACCAGGCAGAGAGTATGCTCTTTTCTCTTGCTTTCTCCCAAACAAATGAAGTCTCTTTTCCTGTGCTGAGCCGTCTGCAACTGGAGGTGTGGTGATGCAAGCACCTCTGTGGCCACTACCACTGGGACTTTGCTAGGTCATTCCTGAAGCCAGCGCAGTTCTGGCCCTTGCCCATGGCCTTCTCTTCAGGGTGGCAAGTTCCTATAAGCCCAGTGATGCTTTCTTAGAGCCAGGGATTATTCTATTCTACTGTGTCTAAGCTTGCCCTCAAACCACAATACAAAGTCCTTCCCACTGTTCTCTTCCCTTTCCACAGGCAGAGGAGCCTCTCCCTGTGGCCAGCAGTACACCAGTCCATGGGGGATTTCTTCCAGGCCACCGCTTATGTTCCCTTAAAGCCCAGGACCTCTTGCATCAGCCTGTGGTGAATGCAGCCAGGCTTGAACTCACCCTTTATGGCAATGGACTCCCTCTGGCCAAGGGCATGTCTAGAAATGCTGTCCAAGAGCCTAGGCGTGAACTCAGGAACCCCAAAAGACTGCTTGTTGCTCTACCCCACTGTGGCCAAGCTGGTACCTAGGGTGCAAGACAAAGTCCCTTTTACTGTTCCCACTGCTTTTCTCAAGCAGAAGGAGTTTTGCCCTATAACCACCACTGCTGATAATGCGCTGAGTTTCCCTGAAGCCAGCACATCTCAGAGGCTCACTAAGACCTCTGTGTAGTACCTGGGTATCACTGCTGGTTATTCAGAGCCCAAGGGCTCTTCAGTTAACAGGTGATAAATGCTGACAGGACTGCATCCTTTCCTTCAAGGCAGGAGGTTCCCTTTTGACCCAGGATGTGTCTAGAAATACCATGTCGGAGCTAAGGCTTGGAATGAGACCTTCTTGAATGTGCCCAGTGCCCTGTCCTACTGTGGCTGAGCTGGTATCTATGATGCAATACAAAGTCTTCTTTATTCTTCATTCTCCTCTTGTTAAGCAGAAAGTAGGAGTCCCTTTCATTGTTTTGAGCCGCACTGCCTGGGGTAGGGGGTGACATGGTGCAAGCACTCCCATAGCCTCACCAGCTAGTGTCTCCTTAGGACACATGCCACTCTGTTCACTGGCTCTAAGTCGAGCCTAGCACAGGGAGTTCCCTAGGAATTGCAGACCTTGTTTCCTAGACTGCTTTTCAAGTATATCAAAGATCCTAGAGCACGTTAGCTTGTGGTGGCAAGGCTTGATGGGAAACCCAAGTTCCAACAACTGGGATGGCAGATTCCCCTCTGACTAGGGCTGGTCCAAATGCTCCTTCTGTGCATGAGTGCTGGCTGAGTTCGGCATTTATTTATTTACTGTGACAAGGTAGCACTGAGTTCGATGTAAAGTCTCCCAGTCACTGCTCTCTGTCTTCCCAAAATGCACATATTCTTTCTCCATACCTCATGGCCACAACCTGGGGCTGGGGGAAGGGTGGCATCAGTGATTCAAGACTGTCTTTTCTGCCCTCCTCAATGCTTCTTTCCAGGTTATGAAGTTAAAGCCGTGTACTATGATTGCTTACCTGATTTTTAGTTCTTGTGATGGTGCTTTTCTGTGTGTAGATAAAATTTGGTGTTGCAAATGATAAGTATAGGCTTCTATTCCATCATCTTGCTCTGCCTTCTCTTTACAACTGTGGCAATATTCATTGCAGAAAAGTGTGTATTGTCCTTTTACTTTAAGCCTATGCTGAAAATGAGAGAGACAATTCTCATTCCATATCTAATACAATGAGTGGAAACTGGAAAGCTAACTGGTAAAAGGAGTGAGAATAAAATAAGATATCTTACCATGTTTCATCCACCTTACCTAATTTATATTCTCTAAATATCTGCAGAGCATTTATACAGGAAGCTGGAGGCAATGGAAGAGCAATATACTTGTATGTATGAATATATGCAGGATAGATTTTCAGATGAATAGGTAACTGATGGTCATTGTTGAATGGGTCAGTTCTTTAGGGGTAGTAGGAGTCTAAATGAGGCAGGTAGCCCCTTTAATGATGAGACAGTTAATCCGGATATTTCAACAAAGATGGGGGTGGTTTGTTTTGTACAGAAAAATAGTTAAATGACTAGAATACTGGGAGGCCGTACCCATTTTGGAATTGTAGCAGGTGAATCTGATTTAGACTCATCCAGCTAGGATAAAAGCTGGCTATAAACATGTGTAGGACAATGTCAAGGTGCTGTTTGCAAGTGTTTCATGTGTGCATGATAGAATACAATTTGATGCTCACTAAGTTCATTTATTTTCTTTTCTTATGATGAATCATTTACACGTGGTCATTCAAAGATGCTTTGTTTCCATTAGATATGTTTATAAATGCATGATTTTATAATAATCTGAATTAGAATGACCTGGGGAGCATGTTAAAAGTAAAATGTTCCTTTAGGTGGCTCTTGGATCCACAATAAGAAATATCTATCTCTTTAATTCCTTTTTGCCAATATGCTACTTTGTATGTAATACTTCTGTAATGAAAGACATTTTTAGACCAAACTGTCATTGGGCATTGGAAAAGTACAAAAACGATGGCAGTTTTTCTATATTCTGATAAAGTGAAGTTAAAGTGAGACCAGATTAAAAGATACGATTCAGTTTCATATAGAAAATAAGGCTTGTGGTAGTAAAGTTAGACATTTTCAGAAAATGCAAATGAATTTATTTATGTCTGAAAATGAAGAGGAAAAACAAACCTCCATGTTTCCTATTTTACACATTCATCTAGTTTTAAAAACTATAAATATACTAGTGCATCTTTAATAATACAATTTTTTTCTTAGTGTGCTTCAATACTCATTTTTATGTTATGTGAAAAAAAATTTGTTCTATTCATTCACCTATTGACCACTCAATTTAGCTTATAGGAAAATATAGATATTTGTGTGAAACTACAGTTATAGAGACAGAAATCAGAGATGGAAACAATGCAGCAGATCATTTCATTTTTTAACAGTCAATATTTTTTCACATAATACACTTTGAGAATTTTTCTTACCCAATATTTAATTTCATGAGTAATGAATCGTTTATTAATTTGTAAAGTGTTAATTCCAGCTGAAATTGTCATTTTATTTTCTCTATTTAGATAAATTACTTTTCTTTTTTTTGTTTTCCTTTCTTAATATTATTCCATCGCTCAAAATTCTATCTATCGTGGGGTTAAGTGCAATGTGTGTGCTATATCACATACAGAGAATTTACCGACAATAGCAGCCTTTCCAAGCCCTGTCTCTGTAACTAACCACTCCATGGGTATAGAGCTCACAGGTAAAAACTGATATAAGGAATGAAGCAAAACAAAGTTGCACAATATTTGCATGGGGATACTTTTATTCTTAGTGGTAATTACACAGAGGGATTGTGTTCTCCTTCTTGCAATACTGGATTCTAGATTCAAAAATACTTGAAATGCTTTTTCTGGTTTCTACCTGCATCTCACGAGGCCTCTATTGGAATTCTATAATAACCAGCCATGGTATTTCCGTAGGTCAGTGGGTCTCTGAAACTTTTAGTGTTCAGGAAGCTCATCTGAGGCTCTTGAAAGCATGTTGATTTCAAGGTTCCACAGCTAGAAACAGCAATTTGGCAGGTCAGAAGTAAAGTTCAGGAAACTACGTTGTTAACAGGTACCTCAGCACCTTTGAATGCAGGTGGCTTTTGAACTTAGCTTTGAGAAACACTGATTTCAGCTATGCCTACCCTGAGCAAATACCTAGTATGGGATTTTTATTTGAATGAACAAATCATATTCACCTCTGTGGCATACAGTGTGTTGAATTGAAACAAAGAAGCAAAATGAGCTTTCATAAAGTGACTCAGACTAGGTATTATTTTAACGACTTTTTACAAATTATGTGAGCAATCTTCAGTTTGTTCAAGGGTATTTTAGTTTTCTTGGACTTAAATAAAGTTTCTATTTCAGAATCATTCTGCTTCTTTAAAAGAAAAACTATCCAGATCCACAAAATTTACTTGTAAGAACTGAACAAGTTTCAATCACCTTTTTAATCTGATTAAATCCTCACAAAAATTCAGTGTGAATAACTATCACCTTTTCATTTTACACATGGGGAAATTGAGCTCTATTGTGATCAATTTCCCCAAGACATGCATTTAGTAAGCACAAATCCTGCCTCAAATATGTTTACTTCAGACCATAACTTGTTTTCTTTCCACTGTACTAGGCAGTAGTGTACAAAAACATCAAGCATAATACCTAGAGGCTGTGGAAAGGTACTTCTTGTTGGTATGCCATGCCTTAATAAGGAAATGAAGGTATAGTAAGACTTCGGTAAAATTAATTGCATTGGAAGAGATGCCTGAACTCTCCTTGTGATTGCAATTATTTATCTGAGTGGGCATGGGAGAGACAGAGAAATTGGTAGTAAAAGATAAAGAGAAAAAATTCCGTGTAAGGAAATATGTTAGCCGCTAGCCCAAACATTCTTTCAATGACAGCAGGTTTATGGTCTCTAAAAAAGGTCTTGCATCGTTTTACTTGAATTCTTTTTATAACATTTTGCATGTCTCTGAGAGAAAACCAATGAGAGACCACAGCAATTTTTTGTAATTGTTATGATCAAGTGAAGATGTGCCAAACTTCCTAGTGCAATGTAATGAGAGGCCAATGTTTATCACCCAGAAAAGGAAGCAAAAGACTCAGCTATAGTTTGTTCAGAAATCCTTCCAGTAAGGTCTGTGATCGATTAAATAGTTTCTCTGTTGGGTTTTACTGAGATCAAACTTTGATGCTCACAATGTAGAATAGACGTGTTAAATGGGTTGGAACAGGATCAGAATCATAAAGGCATGATTACACCAAAAGGGACAAATAACCAAAATTCCATAGCTTTTGTGGGACTGAGGGTACCCTCATCAAATATGTAAAATCTTCAAGTTATGTTATTTCAGTAAATCCAAATTAAGTCATTTATTTTTAATGGCATTTGGCTTTTTTGTTTCCTGACAGTTAACACAATATTCTGAGTTGAATACATAAATACAATAAAATTGACTTCTGCCCAGCTGGGCTTATTCAAAATTTCTAGATTCTCAGTTTTTATTTTCTGGCACCAAAAATACATAAAAAATCTTTGAGTATTCAAATGATCTCTTAAACACTAATTTAGACCTAGCATGCTGGAAGTGTGTGTTAAAATCATTTGTGAAGAATGTACTTATTTGATAAACAAAGCCTTCTTCACTTGAAATATTGGAAATAATTTCTGAGTTCCAAAACACTGACATTCAATGAACATTGCCTTTCATTACTTTTGTTAATACATCTTTTTATACACATCATTTGTACAACAAAACTGTATAGCATCTATCATGGGTCAAGCATTGTGCTAGTTGCCAGGGAATAATGGTGAGCAAGACAAAAATGGTATTGGCCTTCACAGAGTTTATACTAACTTTGAGGACAAAGAGGTAAGCCAGCCCCACAATCACAGTAAACTTTGAAGGTAACCTGATTTTTTTTTCATAGCCTTCACATGATACCCGGAAAGTAGTAGGCAATCAGTGTATACCTGTTGCATGAATAGAGGAAAACACAGTATAGCTGAAGGAACACCCGAGCAGACGTAAGGAAATATTAATCCTAGCTTTAACTCTATTGTTGAATGACCATGTAGTATATGCAAAATTGTTTCCACTTCATGAACTTCAGTTTGCTTTAATGTAGAATTAGAGTAGTCAACATTATGAAATTTATTTCATGCTACTTCCAACAATATATAACCATATAATACTGAAAATATCATTTTAAATGTTTGAATAAAGGCATTTATAATTGCTTCTACAGCAGGCCTCATTCCTGTTAGCTGCTTATATTAAATGTTTCAAAAAAGAAGGAAGGAAGGGAGGAAGGAAGGAAGGAAGGAAGGAAGGAAGGAAGGAAGGAAGGAAGGACAGACATCAAGTACAAACAAACTCATCACATAAATCTCACTTCAATTATATAGTGCATAAACTTCTAAAAGTAAGAAACATATAGGAGTATTCCTAGACTAGTTTCTTGAGGGAACTTAAACTAAAGCTCAGATCTAAATATTTCCAGTTTGGCAAATTCAGAAATACCTTTATTTCCATTAGTATTTTTGACCTCCCAAAACTTAAATGAATATTTCACAAATCTTTCATTATAGTAATGAAAAAGGTTAAGTTGTTATTTATAATCAGATTTAGACTGTCATATTTTGAGTGTCTCGGTAGGGAAAATAAGTGCTTTATAAAGAATATTACTGTTATTATTAGCCCTATGCTTGTTCCTGGAAACAAAATGGAGTAGTGTTTCCCTGTGGACTCAATAGACTATTAAAACTATTGTGGCCCTCTTCTGCGTACCTGTTATCACCAGTTATAAAAAAAAATTGTCTCTTTATTGAAAGTTGAACTTCAGGGCTTTTTTTTTTTCTTTTAAGATGAAGATACTGGAAGACTTGGCATCTTTACAATATTTCAGTTTAAACATTCCAAAGGAACTGATCATGTTGCAAAATATTTATAAAATGTTTTATCTAATGTAATTAAATCCCAATAGTACAGAAAGCTTAAATCTTTCTTCATTTTTCTTCTTCATTTTTTACTTTTACAGAGAATGTATGCATTTTAGGCAACTTTTGCTCTACTTTTTGAAACTCAACATTAGATGTGTGTATACAAGTTTTGTTCATTTAGGTAAGTTTTCTTGAAACACGCTTATAATATTTGCAGGGATAACATCTTCAAGTCATTTTAAGAGTGCTAATGAGTGATTCTTAGGATTTTTGGCAGAATGAGGGCAGTTATAAAAAGGAGCAGCAACACTGTTTGTATAGCATGGTACCACTCTCTCGATTAACAGTACTTTACATTAAAATTTTGCTCAGCTGAGCAGCTGACTATGCTAATTCTTCAGAGTTGTGTTAAGCCTTACTCATTTTTTTTCTAAGCCTACTTGCCAGGAATAGCATGAGAAAATGAACATTTTCAAGGTCAGTGAAAATGAGATCACATGGCTGCTTCATTGATATTGTCACTCAGTGTATTTTTGCATGTTTATTTCTCTGGAGGTCTTGATCTGATTGTAGGTGTTTCATGATTTGGTATGCACACACATACTCTCTCACACACGCCTATATAGAATTGTCATGAATATCCATTTATCATAATACTTGTTTATTGTTCAATTCCCTAAGTTATAAGAGCCCAAGGAATCTGCTTCTCTCCCCAGAAAATTAATAACAGCAAAAATTATCAACTTATGATTTGAAGACATCTGTATCTGCTTCCTGTTGCAAATGACAAATGTAGTCATTTGTAATAAATGGCTACAAACTTAGTGGTTTAAAACAACACAAATTTACAGTTCTGGAGGTTGGAGATCTACAGTGGGCCTCACTGGGATAAAATCAGTGTCAGCAGGCCTGCATGGTGCATTGTACACAGTGGGTGCTTCACAAATAGAGTTGATTTTCACCATTTGAAGATTCTGTATTTGCAAATGCCGCTACTCTCTAAAATTTACTTGTAACCTCACAATCAATACTCATGAAGCTTTTCAGTCATTCACGGACATGGACAGAGCAGCCACAAATGTGATGTGCCTCATGCTCGGGTTTCCAGCTGAGCTCCAGCAAGGCCCTGCTCTGCCCTGTTCCAGCTCTAATACAGAAATGACCAGAAGATAGAGATGGCAGGAAACAGTGCAATGTAGTGCAAGAAGCTCTGACTGAGACCCCCTTGAATGGGATTTAAATCCCAACTCTGATATCTGTTAGTGGGTGTCCTCAGGCAAGTCACTTAAAACTTATGAAGGCCATTTTCTCTTTTCTAAAGTAAAAAAAAAAAATAGAATCTACCAGGAAAAGTTTTTTTAGGCTTTAATTTGATAATCTATGTGAGATATGTGTACATATGTACATGTTTCCCCTAGGAGCAATGTTTTAGTAAATTAGCTAATTCATAGTTCACAGCTACTTCATAGAACATGACTACTTCGAATAACAATAGCCAACTGTATCTGTTGAATAAAGGAAGGAATCACTGACCCAGAAATATTATTATTTATTGTATGACCTTGTTACATGAATTGATGGTAACGGTTGCTCAGCGATTTCCCAAAGGATGTTGTGGTAGGCAGAATAATGCCCCTTCCCCAAGGATGTCCACATCATCTATGGAAACCATGAATATGTTAGATTACAAAGTGAAGGAGGATTATAGTTGCAGATATAATTAAGTTTGCTAGTCAGTTGACCTTAAAGTAGGGAGATTATTTTCATTATCTTGATGGGCCAATATAATCTCAAGAACTCTTCAAAGTAGAAGAGGAAGGCAGAGGAAGGTGAACAATGACTTGGCCCAGCATGCTGGCTCTGAAGATATAACAGGACCAAGATTCCAAGAGTGTAGCTGACCTGTAGAAGCTAGAAAAGGGAGGGAAATAGATTATCTCCCAGAATCTCCAGAAAGGAATGCACCCTGCTGTCACTTTCATCTTATCCCAGTGAGACTTACAGATTTCTGACTTTTGGATCTGTAACCTAGGAAATTTGTGTTAAGTGACAAAGTTTGTAGTAATTTGTTACAGTAGCAATAGGAAACAAATACAGATGTCTCCAAATCATAAGTTGATAATTGTTGCTGTTGTTGATGTTGTATTACTCGGAATGTATAAAAATTAACCTGGTACTAAAAAAGAGTCAAATGAGAACAATACCTTAGCTAAAAAGATTTCCCCTTCAATATCATTTGAGATCATGGGGTAAAAAAGGCTGGAAATGACAGCACAAGTTGGGAATTTTACCAGGAGCAACTGCTGGATATAGAAGAGGATTTAACTTGATCCTGTAGGAGAGGCAAAATTTTGCCCCTACCTTCTTAGGGATTTTTGGCTTCGGGACTGAAAATTATACCCATGTAAGACAGATAAACAGAAGAAAATGATACAAGTTTTTTCAATACAAGTTTTATGTGGCACAGGAGCCATCATAAAGAAATGAAGACCCAAAGACCCTGAGTTATTTATATGCTGAATGGGACAAAGTGTAATAAATTGTGAAAATATGACAAGGCAAAGCGGCTTTGGCTAGGTTAGTTATTTGGGTAGAGAAGTGACTGGATAGATAAAGTTAGTTTAACCAGGTTTGTTTGTACAGATTTTTCTCAGTCTCAGTTTCCTGTTCTTGGTGATAAAAATGTCCTTCCAGTATAGGGAAGACATCTTTCACATGGAAATTTCATATCTTCCTTTTAAGAAACAGAATGAAAGTCAGACCGATCATGCACCTATTGTTTTTCAAGTTTCTTTAGTTCAAAATAATTCTTAGCACAAAGTGGCATACTTTGGAGCAGTGTGTTTTGAATTCCTTCAATACTAATAAAATCCACACCACATATTTCAAGCTCCAGAGAGAGTTGGATCTTCTACCAATGTATCAAATGGGTCACATGATTTTGTAAAATTGCAAAAATGATATTAGTAAAATAATAATAGTAAGATACTGAAGAGTCCCCCTCATATTAAATAATTTTCAGGGCACAGAAAACCTAGCTCTGCCCCTGCTTGAATACCTTTCAGGAAACTTGAGAGAGATCTGACTCCAAAATGAAAACATGTGTCTCATGCACAGCTGTACATGTTTCCCTCCCCAGAACACATTTTCCACTGAGGGGAATTCATATGACAAGGACATACGAGGAGTGAGATAGGGATAGGAAGTAGTAGCAATTACATAATTCATCTCCTGTTGATCAATTAAGCACTTACTATGTGGCTAATCATTGTAGGCTACAATGAGATCTATGACTCATTCCAATTTCACTAATAACTTGAAGCTTAATTGGGAAGATGAAATGCACATGGACACATCATCATTAGTATGATGTAATATACAATTAGGCACTAATAAATAAGGTACTGGAAACTAGAGAATAGCACAATAAAATACAACTTTGGCTGAGCCAATAACACACACACACACACACACACACACATACATACAAACATACACATATATGCACACATAACTCAAAATTGGTTTCATAGCAGAAGTGAGAACTTGATTTGATCTCAAGCCATGATGATTATATGATGGTTATTTAATTTGCAGCAGTGGCTAGAATAATAGCAAAATAGACCAAAAATATGTTGTTTTATAAATACTGAATAGAATGGCTTTATTACAGAAAATTAAAGTACCCAATGGGCTGAGTACCTTACATCATTTATTTCAATTTATCTTTACAACAATACTCTGGGGTAGGTACAGTTTATTATCTTTGTTTCACTAATGGGGAAACTGAGACTTAGAATAGTTTAACAATTTTTTCAATGATGTCACAAATCCATTATGTGGCAAAGCCAAGACCGAAACCCAGGCCTACCTGACACCACAGTCTAACTCTTATGCACTTAAGGAGTTGGGATGTAGAGAGAAATAAAATTGAATAGGTTTTAAACACTAAATAAAGGTTTTAGTTTACAGATAAGAATACTTCTATATGAAGCATAAATTTGCATATATGCTCACCTAGACTTTGAGATCTTATAATTTCTTCAACAGATTAAACCATCACTTTCCAGAAGGCTACCATATTTCTTTGACATAACTAGTAAATTGCTGAAGTACACATTGACATCTGAAATCATTTGTCTGAATGTCACCGAAATGAAGTGAATAGTGTGATAGTTTTTGCTCTTGTTGTCACAAGGATAATACGGAGTATTTAAAAATGAGTGATAAGATGGGATAGTTGTATTAAATTAAAAACCTTTTAAATCATACTAATAGGATGACCAATGTGCTTTATTAAGAAGCAAAGAAGTATCAGAGATGCTTAAGGCAAATGGGCAGATGACTTGAATTGGAGTCATTTGACTGCATGTGAAAGCTAGTACATGACTAAGAGCCTACAAAAATATGTATTCTTATTTAAAACTTAAATATGAAATGCTTTGGAACAGTATAGCAAATTTCGTTAAGTTTGTTAATAATTACAGAAGCATTAACATGATGGCATGTACTATCAATTTCAGGTTGAAAATAGCTGGAAAAAACACATTTTCACAACAAGTGGCTTCTCTTGGCTTTCCAACTGTTGCTTCATTCACCTTAAAAAAATAAGTATTAATTCTACAAATATTTAAATTTAAGTAACACAATTATTGCAGGATTGATAGAAGATGCAGTAGAATTTTATAATATATTCAAAATATGAAACTGTGAGTCTGTAAACTTTGATGTGTGATGAATTTGAGCCTGCCATGTTTATTCTGTCAAAACCACAGCAGTGCTTAGATGACAGACCCCTAGTTATGGTTGACAGCCTAGATCCTATTAACACTGTGAATCATCACACTTAACCCTGTAATATTGTAAGATTAGAAATGAGTATCTTGTCAGAAATAATACATTTATCTAGGAAATATATGGTTGGATGGAACTGTGTCAGAGCAAGCAAGAGTCACCAGAAATTTATGTAAGGCACGCAATACTTTAGCTTACTATTTTATTTATTTTTGAATTTTACTAAGGGCTGACACTGTGTCACATGAAAATCCTACTGTAATGGTATCTTGGCTCACCCTACTGGTTAAGAGAAGAGCATTTCCACCTTGAATGCTGCACCTAAAACTTAAGATGTGTGCTTCCTTAAAAACAATACAAAATAAACCCCAGAAATAAATTGGAGTGAACTACAAAATTACAACTTTAAGGAATTTATGACTTTGAGAACTTTCTCTGCATTTTTTAGACTACAGAAAAAAATATAGCACTTTATTTTAAATATGAGGGGAATTTTCAAATAGTCATGTAAACTGCAAAGTAAAAAACTACATATTTTAAATATACAGTTTCTTTACACAGCACTGTTTCTTAAAGCTGCATTAACAGAGTTCAAAAGACCTCTAAAAATGTGTTTTACCATCATTTTGGGTTGTGTTAAACATGATATCAAACTCAAGTTGTCCTTCTCAAGACCCAAATTAAATTTTGTTTTACTTAATGAATAATTTTAAAATCTGGATATATGATAACTATAACTCTATAAAAAGCATCTTAGAGCCAGGCACGGTGGCTCTCGCCTGTAATCCCAGCACTTTGGGAGGCTGAGGAGGGAGAATCATGAGGTCAGGAGTTCGAGACCAGCCTGACCAAAGTGGTAAAATCCGTCTCTACTAAAAATACAAAAATTAGCCGGGTGTGGTGGTGCATGCCTGTAATCCCAGCTACTCAAGAGGCTGAGGCAAGAGAACTACTTGAACCCGGGAGGCAGAGGTTGCAGCAGTGAGCAGAGATTGCACCACTGCACTTCAGCCTGGGCAACAGAGCAAGACTCTGTCAAAAACAACAACAACAACAACAACAACAAACAAAAAAGGATCTTAGAGAGGATGGGAACATTTGATCAAGAAGCTACCAACTGAATAGCTTACTTTATTTATGCACCTTACTAGACCATTTTTGTTAAGCTCACCGTTTTAGTAATAGTCTAGTTTTTGAAAATTTGGAAGAGTTCGGGCCGGGTGCAGTGGCTAACACCTGTAATCCCAGCACTTTGGGAGGCCGAGAAGGATGAATCAACTGAGGTTGGGAGTTCAAGACCAGCCTGACCAACATGGAGAAACCCGGTCTCTACTAAAAATACAAAATTAGCCGGGTGTGGTGGCGCATGCCTGTAATCCCTGCTACTAGGGAGACTGAGGCAGGAGAATCGCTTGAACCCGGGAAGCAGAGGTTGCGGTGAGCCAAGATCGCACTATTGCACTCCAGCCTGGCTGAAACACAGTCTCAAAAAAAAAAAAAAAAGAAATAGTCTAATATTAACTAACACTTCCAAAAGATCAAAAAAATTTACTTAAATAATTTACACATAATATTGAGAAAGATTTTATTATACTTCTACAAAAACTCTGAGAGTGCAGCTCGCATGTAGTACTTGCTCCTCTAGAGGATCACAAGCACTTGGTTGGACTACCAGTGTTAGACTACCTCTTGACCTTTAGAGGGTTGGGCTACCTCTTAATCTTAGACAGCTTTTTAAAGAGTGATTATTATACAATGCTACATCACTGGATATAATTTTAGTTATGATTGTAAATGATCTTAGGCTACTTTCATTAATACAGTCTGAGTCAATTATTCATTTCATCACAGGCTTCTTTATTGATATAAGAGAAATATGATTTGTTACATGTAGCTCTAATTGGTTAGACTTAAAACTATTGGAAAAAAAAAAACTTTAGAGAAATTAAATTTAGTAGTTCATTTCAGCAAGTTCATGAATGAGGCGGCACTCAGAACCAGAACAGGTTCAGAGAACTCTGCATAGTAGTGTGGACAGTGAGCTCTTATAGTCTGAATACAAAAGCAGAGTAATCACCTGATTGGCTAGAGCTAGATGCCTGCCTCATTTGGCATGGTCTGATCAGTTTGCTGCTTGTGATTGACTGAAGCTCTGTGTCTTGTGATTGGCTGAAACTTCGCTCTTTGCTACAAAATATACATCTAAATTGGGTTTCAGTTGGTTTATATACTAAAAGAGGTTGTAGTTTGTGGTTTGTTTGGTAGGAATTCAAAGTACGGAAACAGCCTCAATCCAATAGGCTCCTGCTTATTTAATTTAACAAAATTAACCTTTCATTGGGTCCTGAATACTCGATTTAAACCTCCCCCTGTTTGACTCTTCTTATGTTAGAAATTCATTCTCTAAAAGTCTTTTCTTAATTTGGTTGCAAAAAAAAAAAAAAAAGCCACCCAGATGCCATGGCTGCCTGTGTTTTTTCACCCTGGAATTCTGCCATTACTGAACAGTATGTGCTCAGCTATGCTAAAGCTTTTACAACCCCCACCCTCATATTATAGAAGCAAAAAAAAAAAATGTCCAAAGAAATTCTACCATCTGGCGTATTGAGACTTCAAAGACTAAAGAAAAAATGTTAAGTTATGGTCAGAACATTTTTTTTTCTTCCCAAATAACACCTATGCAAGAAAGAAAGGAAAACAAAAATATCACAGAGCTGGAACTTCATGGGTTTAATACACTTACATCTATCAAAAGTAAAACACCATTGCAGACATATTCTATGCCTATGCTGTCTAGTACAGTAACTAGTAGCTATGTGTGACTTTAAAGCACCTGACACATGACTAGTCTGAATTAAGATATGCCATAAGTATATAATACATACCAGATTTTGATCACTTACTATGAAAAAGACAATGTAAAATAGCTCATTGATAAAACATTAATATTCACATTGATTGCATGTTGAAATTTGAATATTTTAGGCATATTGGATTAAATAAAACAGATAATTTCACCTGCTCATTTTGGCTTTTACTTTTACTGTGGCTACCAGAAATTACTTATGTAGCTTGTCTTAAATTTTTGTTGAAAACCCCTCTTTTATACCAAACTTAGTAAGGAAGATTTTGACTGAAGGTTGCTTAATACCAATACATTTGACTTTCTTGTTTCTTATGGTATAACTGATTAAAAATATTGTTTAAAATAATAGTAAAAATAAAATAAAAATATAATAAAGATATATCATTTCAGGAATTGCATATTAAATATTGATATGAAATTACAAACATTATGAATGACCTGCATATTAACATTAAATATGCATGGTTATATACAGTTAAATCCAGAACATTGACCCTTAATTAGAGACTCCACTTCTCCTCACGTCTTTGAAGTGGAATATTCTTTGGGCTGCAGAAATGGTAATAACTGCCTAATTGATAGTGTTTATGAAACGTTTGTCTATTGAAGATAAAAAAACTATCTGTACCTCAAAGAAGTAAAATGTATAGCACAGGTTACCTAAGCAAACTGCTAAATAAAGAATAGATATAAGTTCCATAAAGTTTATGGTTTTGTGCAATAGAGGACATACACCCTTGTATTTCATATTTTATTGCACTTAAAAATACGAAACTTTTTTTGATGAGAAAGACAACGACCCAGATGTCTTTATTTTAATATATTAAGCATATTTTGTGACAGTGTTCTGTGTGGGAGACACATGAGGGGAGACGAAAAGGCACACACAATACTTTTGAGGGTAAACAGCCTTTATCCCAAGTATATGACAATACAGATATAATAAGCAAATCATATAATAAACAAATGACATAATAAGCAAATTGCAATTGGAAGGGGAAAAGAGAAAAGATATATATATGTATATATATACACTCACCAGACTATGGAGGAAGCATCACCAGACTGGGAAGCAACAGCCTGAGCTCCATAGTTGGTAACCTGTTCATGCACAGATGAGGAGAGGTCTCATGAAGCTTTAGGGTGGTCTGGGTGGTCTGGGACCCTAGCTCTTCTTTATTTGTTTATTTTTTTGAGACGGAGTTTCCCTCTTGTTGTCCAAGCTGGAGTGCAATGGCAAGATCTCAGCTCACCACAACCTCTGCCTCCCAGTTTTAAGTGATTCTCTTGCCTCAGCCTCCTGAGTAGCTGGGATTACAGGCAGGCACCACCACGCCTGGCTAATTTTGTATTTTTTAGTAGTGGCGGGGTTTCTGCATGTTGGTCAGGCTGGTCTTGAACTCCCTATCTAAGGTGATCGTGCCTTGGCCTCCCAAAGTGCTGGGATTACAGGCGTGAGCCACCGTGCCTGGCTCCTAGTTCTTTTTGTAAGTTGTTTGGCATGAGGCCCAGTCACAAGGACCCTTCACGACTGGGCTCAAGGAACACAAAAAGGTCAACTTGTTTTTTGCTATTGTCTGTTGTCTTTCAATAACTAATATACAAGAACAGATTGAGATAGAGATTTCTCCGAAACAGTGCTGGATGAATGCCTCAAGGGGCTCACTCAACCTGTTTTGGGACTTGGTGACCATTGTCTGTGTCCAGTTGAGTTTAATTTTAATATTTAACTTTTCCTCCACACACAGACAGGTTTGTACATAATTCATATCTAATCAAATCATGATAATCGTTTTCAAATGCTTAACTTTCCCTTTATCATTTAATGTTGAAATTATGACCCAGCAAGCTAAAAATGGAATTCATTTTATATCATGTCGGATATCATTTTGCCCTCCAAATATGTACTCGTAATGGCAAATAATGAGTTATGCTGAATGATTAATGTGAGTTAAAAAATGCTGATTTTACTTAGTTTGAAAATTGCTTATATATTTATATAAGATATATTGCTTATATATATATGATATATATATAAGAAATATATATAAGAAATATATATAAGAAATATATATAAGCAATTTAACTGCATATAAGGCCTTGATCACTTTCGTTATCTTAAAGTCCCAATTATTTTGAGTGTGAGACTTCCAGTTATACTACATTCTTGGAAATTAAAGTTATTACAGCTATATCCAGTAGAATTAAGTAGGGAAATATGTAATCATTATAAAAATTGCATTTAAAATGAAGAGATTATATAGATTTAATAAATTTACAGTGATAGGATCTTTAGGATATATAACTCTGAGCAACACATTTTTGCTCTTGAATATTTTTTCAATTGCTTTAATAGCTGTAGCAGTTTATTCTCATTTTTGTTAACAAATAAAAATAAACACACCATAACAACAATTATGTCACTGTTTTAGATAAAGTATTAGATTTTTTTTTCCTTTAAGGAATTCTCTTTTTTAATGCTTTGGTCCATGTATCCATGTCCTGGGAAATCATTAGGAACTCATCTATATGTCTGTTCATTTAGTTGGTCCTTGAATTATCTGATAATTCTCATTTTCAATAAGTAGGAAATGGGTTGTAAGAAGAGAAATTACTTTTGCTTATTACAATTCATCAAAATTATGCTCCAAAGCTCAAAAACACTTCTGATTTATCAGCAAGTTTTGATTGGAGGAGCCAACACACATCTGGGAAATACAGATTCAAATAAGAATGCCCAAATAGGGATCTCCCTACTGTAAAGTACGTTTCTTTCTATGGAATGAATATAAAATCCCCCAATAACCTTTTAGGTCATTTTATTTCTCCAAGAATTGGTCTTTCTTTCCTTCTACTGCCTTAGAAAAATTTATTGTTTGGCATATCCACTGGTTTTGGAGACTATTGTAGTGTCCTACAAAATACTACCATCTTAAAGGTAAAACATTCATATATTATTTCTTAATATTTCACGTTGTTATACTCAGGTAGCATAAAAGAAGAAATTACCAAAACAAAACAAAACAAAACCTAAGATAAGTTGTTTAACTCTAGGGAGGAATGGAGAATGAAATTGTTCTTGGGATGTAGAAACATCTCATCTGTGAATCTGAAGTCAATTTCCTGTTACTGGGCAGTATACAATAATTATTTCAAATATTTACAGGTATGTTATACCTAATGTTCAGAAGAAGCATAAACATTCTGATTTTCTAATTTTACACCTTGACTATAAAACATTTGCAAGACAATTATAAGTTGTGATATAACTATACATATAATATAGAAGACACATGTTTTAACATAAAGAGAATGATGATATCCATTCATTAAAACTGAGGACAGAGAATCTTCCCAAATAATGACCAATCTAAATATAACAATTTGATTTCAGAACAGTCTAATCTGTGTAGATGTTAAATCATTATTGCTCACATAGTCATATATAATTATATGCTATTAGTTTCATTGAATTTATAAATAAATCTCTCATGGTCTCTTGAAATTAGCTTTATGGGAGAGGAATATCTGAAATAAAATAAAAACCCACATTCTACATTCCTTTAGGAGAATGGGGCCATAACTACCATAAGTAAATTATTTTTTATTTTTTTTTCTTTTTGAGATGGAGTTTCACTCTTGTTGCCCAGGCTGGAGTGCAATGGCACAATCTTGGCTCACTGCAACCTCCTCCTCCCGGGTTCAAACGATTCTCCTGTCTCAGCCTCCCAAGTAGCTGGGATTACAGGCACATGCCACCATGCCTGGCTAATTTTTGTATTTTTAGTAGAGACAGGGTTTCATCATATTGGTCAGGCTGGTCTCAAACTCCTGACCTCAGGTGATCCACCCTCCTCGGCCTCCCAAAGTGCTGGGATTACAGGCATGAGCCATCGTGCCTGGCAGTAAGTTGTTTTTTAAACCTTTTCTGCTTGTTTAGAAGGAAATCTCCATTGCAGCAGGTGATGTGAGGTTTGATTAAATAAATTGACAGACTGCTCAGAGGCTGATTCAGTATTTTAATAACATTGCAATAAATCTTTTGCAATGTGGTCCCATTTTTCCTCAAGATGATCATCCTTATTTTATTTAATATTGGTGTAATCGAATACCTACTTCATTTAACTTTTCTACAGTCTACATTTTGAACTACATCGAATACCTACTTCATTTAACTTTTCTACAGTCTACATTTTGAACTACATTTTGAAATAATAGATTCCGTTCATGAGGAATTATGATTGTGTGGCATTGCTAAGAGTTGTAACTGTTGGAAATGTCAAGATACACTATTGCATGTGAAAAGAGCTGTACATAGAATTGATGCTATCAGATACAGTGCCACCTTTTTATTGAGGGCATGATAGGCTAATGATAATGAAATTTTTAAGAGTTCTGCATAATAGCAAGATTTTTAATAACTAGAGCAGAATGATAGAAATCTCTTGTAAAAGTGGGTTCCAAAAGATCTTAGAGTTAGTTGATTGTTTAAATTTATAACCTCATTAGTAGTATAGACAGATTCCTGCATCTTAGAAACTCTTAGGAAAATGCCAGTTTCGATTCATCAATACTCCAACTTTAACTTCAAATGGAATTGCCCTCAATTTTAAAATGACATGAATTTTAATAAAAAATGAAAACTAGAGAAATAGTTACGTGAAGGAGGCATATATGGGAAAGTGGAGGCTAGGCCTTCAGGTTTTACAGAAGCAAGCATTTCTAACAAACAGAGACAGACTTGAAACAGGCTAGAGAACCCTTAAGTAGGAAATACGCATAACAAGTTGTTTTAATTGCTAATGCATTTGTATAAACAGAGCAATCTATGACAATTGTGCTGTCAATAATCTCTGAGATATGGTTAAGTAATAAAGCAACAAGAAATGATATTGACAGACAAATGGAGATCCAATAATTGTCTGCAGCATCAAACTCTCATGTATAACGACTTTTGAAGGTTGAAGTTCGTGAGAGCAGTTCATTATGTGTTTCAAACAAAACTCTATTTTGCCATTCTTCCATCAACTGGAGCAGTAAGCACTACAGCTGAAATTCTGCCTAAGGGAATCCATGTATACCAGTTGGTTAACCTTGTGACATTCCACTAAAAAGAACCAGGCTCTTTTGTAATACATAATTCATGAACCACTCTGATTGTTTAGCATTGATCAGCACTTGAATAAATTGAGTTGCTATCATATTAACATAAGTAGCAATGCTTTAGTGAGATTTTCTTTCTTCCTTTCTTTTATGATTTATAGTTCTTGAAACAGGAAGTCAGTTTAGAAGACTGCAGAGTTATGTATCCAACTATTACTTTTGAACCAACCTAATACAATGATAACAGAAGGCTGTGAAGTACATTCTAACAACTGTTTGCATATTCCATTTAAATTCCCAGATTTGACTGCCAGTATGGATTTGTTGTCAGACTTCCTGTCTTCTCTGTGGTCAGACATGCCTATCTTTGCATTTTTCAACTCTATATGTAATTATTCTTGTCTACCAAATGAGTCAAACTCTCTAAAATATTTGAAGAGATTTATTCTGAGCCAAATATGAGTGGCCATGGCCCGTGACACAGCTCTCAGGACGTCCTGAGAACATGTGCCCAAGGTGGTCGGGGCACAGCTTGGTTTTATATATTTTAGGAAGACATGAGACATTAATCAAATACATTTAAGAAATACATTGGCTTGGTTCAGAAAGGTGGGACAACTCAAAGTGGGGGCTTCCAGGCTATTGGTAAATTGAAACATTTTCTGGTTGACAATTGGCTGAGTTTATCTGAAGGCCTGGGATCAATAGAAAGGAAATGTTTAGGTTAACATAAAGGATTGTGGAGACCAAGTTTTATTGTGCAGAGGAAGCTCTCAGATAGCCAACTTCAGAGAGAGCAGGTTGTAAAATGTTTCTTATTTTACAATAAGACCTAAAAGAGTGCCTGGCTCTTAGTTGATTATCTCCTGGTTCTGGAAAGGAAGGAAGGAAGACAAAGAGGAAAGAAGATTCTCTATATAATGTGGATTTTTCCCACAAAGGATGGCTTTGCAGGGCCATTTCAAGATATGGCAAGGAAATATATTTTGGGGTAAAATATTTTTAATTTCTTCCTTGTTATTCCCGAGTCAGATTGGAAAGTAAGTCAAGATATACAAGGTTAAATAATCCCCATTTGATGGAATTTATGGTTTGTAGGGTGTGACTCCCCAGACCCCTTAGACAGGAATTTGGGCAAGATAAAAAAGTTAGAGCTTAGTCCTCATTCTCAAATCTAGGTAGTTTGACGTGGTTGTATAATTGCCCAATATCTCAGCAGGCAAGGAACTGCAATTTATATCTTTCAGAACTTTACAAGGTAATACACTGAAGACACCAGCCTTACTCTAAGGAACACAAACGTATATAGTAGTGATCTCTGTGTGATGTGAACTCTGAAAATTTGAGACAAGTCTTAGTTATTTTAGAAAGTTTATGTTGCCAAGGTTGAGGACACACGCCCATGACAGCCCCAGGAGGTCCTCAAAACATGTTCCCAAGGTAGTCAAAGCACAGCTTGGTTTAGTACATTTTAGGGAGACATGAGATACCAATTAACACATGTAAGATGAACATTAGATCGGTTGGAAAGGCAAGACAACTCGAAGCAAAAGCAGGATGACTCCAGGGGAGAGAGCTTCCAGGTCATAGGTATATGAGACAAACGTTTGCATTATTTTGAGTTTCTGATTAACCTCTCCAAAGGAAACAATCAGATAGGCATTTGTCTCAATGAGCTAAGGGGTATCTTCGAACAGGAGGCAGATTTGCCCTAAGCAGTTCCCAGCTTGACATTTCCCTTTCGCTTAGTGATTTCAGGGTTCCAGGATATTTTCCTTTCACAGAGATGTGGTTTGGATCTGTGTCCTTGCCCAAATCTCATGTCCAATTGTAATCCCCAATGTTGGAGGTGGGGCCTGGTAGGAGGTGATTGGATGATGGGGGCGGTTTCTCATGGTTTACCACCATCCCCCTTAATGTTGTTGTGGTAATTGTGACTGATTGAGTTGTTGCAAGACCTGGTTGTTTGAAAGTGTGTGGCACCCCACCACTCACTCTCTTCCTCCTCCTATGGCCATGTCAGAGGTGCCTGCTTCACCTTCTGCCATAACTGAAAGTTTCCTGACGCCTCCTCAGAAGCCACTATGCTTCTTATACAACCTGGAGAATGCCGAGCCAATTAAATCTCTTTTCATTATGTATTACCCAGTATCAGGTATTTCTTCACAGCAATGCCGGAACAGACTGTTACAAGGTGTATATAGAGAAATGTGACTATTGTGTGGCGAGAGGGTACGTTTTCATCCTCACATGCTGAAAAGTGAGAAGAGGAATATACTCGAGAATGTATTTTGATACATAAATATTATTTCATTGCTTTTCCCTTTTAGCATAATTTGCACATTTTAAATCATGTAACCATTTCAGAGAGAAAACTATATTAATTATGAGATAGTTTTATCTACAGCTTGAACTATAGAAGAAATTTATTACTACATCAGTGTGAACCAGACCATATTTAAATAGATTATTTAACCTGTGGACAACAGGGTTCCAGAGTAGTGGTAAGAATTCCGTAAGGAAATTACCTTTATTCTTGGCATAGACTTTGCCTAGTAAAAAGTGAATAGGCACAAATGTCTCCTATGATTTTATACCTAATCACTGTTCCCTCTTGAGATTCATCTATGCATGCTCAGCCCTTTTAATGGTATTTTTTTCAGGAATTTATCTGTATGAAAAGCAGTAGCCTGAGAAAATTAGTTACAGATTTGCCACCAAGAATGATAAATGTCTAGTGGAGCAGAAAAGAGGCATAGAACATGCTCAGACTCATCACGGAAAGTGACTCAATTTTCCAGTGTATCAGCATTTGTAAGAGAAATATATAGAATATAAAGTGATACGCAAGAGATGAACTCTCCAATCATTTTAAAGTGCCATTTGGGTATTATACATATTAAAATGTCCACATTTCTCATTTAATTAGGTTATTACAAGATACAAATTTAATATGCCTTTACTGAAACTCATGACTTCTTTTTAGTCCTAAATCTAGCTGTTTTCATTAAACACAAATTATATACGAATTTTTTATTCATAAAGCTTCATTCCTTTTTACCTATTTATATTTTGCTATTTAAAAATATCCAGCACCACACAAAAAAGTAATATGTGTGTGTGTGTGTGTGTGTGTGTGTGTGTGTGTGTGTGTGTATATATATATAAAACATTAAATTAAAAAATAGTAATATCTAGCATGGTTGTTTTGTTGACATCCCACACACTGGTTTAAATAACTGAAAAAAAAATGGACAACAGCATTTTATCAAGACTTTTCTTTGCAAACCATTTGAATTATTTTATAAAATGAGTAGAGATAGGTTACTTACCATTGCAGAATCTGTTTCTTTAGATATTAGAAATAGAGATTTGATTTTGAGCCATAACCTCTTGCTTAAAAGTATTCTTATGCCCTATGATATGCAGGTGTTATTCAGATTTAACTGTTTATCTCTATCTTTGAGGATATACAGGTATATATGAGGACAAGCCCACTTGTTCTCTCTTCCTAAAGGAATACACAAAAAATCAGGGTGTAGAAAAATATCTTATTTCTCCCTCATTTTATACACTAGGACAATGTGAGACATTTAACTGCTCTATCATGTCCACTACTAGGCTGTCTGCCAATTGGATGATCATACTTTCCAATTATCCTAGACTCTAGTACTTCAGTGTTTAGGACAGTTGGATTTTAACAACAGAATTCACTAGGACAATATGCTATGCCATCATGAATACCTTCTGGCTTTGGGGAAAAACAACAACAACTGTAGTGCTTTTTATGTACTTGGAGAATATTTTGAAATAAGTAAAGTATTAATTTCTAATATCTAGAGGTTTAGAAAAACATTAACATTCCTCTTTAATTTGAATGTTTATGATGTCACTCCACAAACACACATATTATTATCAATATTTAAATTACATCAAAGATATATCCAAGAACAAAGGCCCTTCATTGCAGTATACATGGTAATATATGCATTATCAACTGAAGAACACGGAGCAACAAGTGAATTCTGTAGAGATTTCAGCTAATAAAAATGCAAGTCCAAATCCCAAATCCGAGTCCTCCTATCCCCTAACCCCCAATCCCCAGCTGTGGTGAAATTTCCAGCACAAAAATGTCTAGGTTGTCATTAGTGTTTCAACAAAGCTAATGCATTTACTCTTCCATTGCTCACTAATTTTCAGGCTTTTTCTGCATTTCATATCCTCTCTTTGTCTCCTTACCTGCTCTTTTCTTCTTTGGTTACTTTTGTGACATTTTGTACCACATGTCCTTAGAATTCTATTCCTAATATTATGTTTTTTTCTCCAAAAATACTTTTCAAATGTTCTTCACAAGGTTCTAGTTTGTTGTTTAGAGGTAGGTACCCCTGAATAAGATATATCTTTTAATGTATATTTAATAAAATAATAATATTTCATTCTGGGGCTAGTATGGCACATCCCAAAGGAAGGAATTTGCATTTCTCTCTCATACTGTAATTTTTATTGAGTTTCTCATCTAGAAGTAACCTCCTTTTGATGTTGTCACCACTATAGTCCTAAATTAAGCCTACTTCAAAGCTTTAAACAATAAAAAATTCTAATTCAGGCAGAAAGTCAGCAAAGATACAGTGAACATATGCTATAAGCATGAAATTTGAACAATCTATAATATAAAAATATACGCCATTTAAACCTTATGTCCTACATATCAAGGGTAATGACTTTGCTTTTTAGTAATTAAATTTGTACACGTAGTGAAATTGCTAATGGATATTGATTGACAAGGCAAAAATCTTCACTTTGAGAAATCTTCCATTTTCCTAGAAAAATCTTAGAGAAGTTATTTAAGTGGCAACAAAGTTGATTCTGAATTACTTTTTGCTATTCAAGTTCCAAGACGAAGAGAATCATTGAGCACTTTTAGGCCAATCATCATGCATTTTTTCTTTTAGAAACAAAGTTAAGGTGTTCAACATCTTTAGACAAGTTCTTGAATATACTATCACAATTATTAAAGATTATAAAACTACAAATAATAGAATTAGTTACTTATATTGTTATCACAGTGGGCATCAAAGACAAGATGTTTCCCTTACATATATTTCTGAAGGAAAGTAAGGTTAGATTGAAATGTTGTTTGATATTTTCCAAAATGCAAGTCACTTGCTGAAGATCAATCTGCCTTCATATTTCAGATAATCAAGGGAGAGTCTGTCTACCTTATTCACAAACTGAATAAATAGAGATTCATTCTGAATGATATATGCAGGCCCCTTTTTCCTTTATGATTTAATATACAAGGCACGTTGAACACATGGGACATTATCTTCACTTGCTCTCAGGGGGACTATGTAAGAGGACTGAATGAATAGACAAGTTTATACATAGTTTAGGGGCCCTAAGTGGAGTGTATGTGTATGTGTGTGTGTGTGTGTGTGTGTGTGTGTGTGTGTGTATGTACCTGCTATATATGAATATATACACATATCATATTGTATTTGTCCATTTTCATGCTGCTGATAAAGACATACCTTTATGTCTGGGTAATTTATAAAGAAAAAGAGGTTTAATGGACTCACAGTTCCATGTGCTGGGGAGGCCTCACAATCATGTTGTAAGGAGAAAGGCACGTCTTACAAGGCAGTAGGCAAGAGAGAATGAGAGCTGAGCAAAAGGGAAACCCCTTATAAAACCATCAGATCTCATGAGACTTATTAAGTACCACGAGAACAGTATGAGGGAAACCACCCCCATGATTCAAATATCTCCCATTGGATCACTCCCACAACATGTGGGAATTATGAGAGCTACAATTCAAGATGAAGATTTGGATGGGGACACAGCCAAACCATATCACATACATACACATTGTATAAAATGATGTACAAAGTATGTGTATGGATGAATATATGGGAAAAGTTAGGATTAAAGTGGAACTGAGCCTAATGGATCTGTCAAACTCATGTCAATCTTTATTAGACAGAGATGTTCATCTGGTGATGGTACCATTTTAGCTAATAAGAAGGTATAAACTATTGATAATCTTGCTTACATTTCTCTTTAATTTTGTTTATTTTCTCCTCTAAGATTAGAAAGCAAAATTGAAAAAGTCAGGGACCACGCATGGTGGCTCACACCTGTAATCCCAGTACTTTGTGAGGCTGAGGTGGGAGAATCACTTAGCCCAGGAGTTTGAGACCAGCCTGGGAAACATACGGAGACCCATCTCTACAAAAAAATTAAAAAACTGGCCAGGTGGTGTGCACTTGTGGTCCTAGCTACTTGGGAGGTTGAGATGGAAGGATTGCTTGAGCCCAGGATGTCATGGCTGCCTTGTTGTGTTCACACCACTGCATTCCAGACTGGGAAACAGACTGAGCCCTTGTCTCAGAAAAAAAAAAAAAAAATTGAAAAAGTTCTCAGGAAAGATGCGGGGAAATATATTTTTTTCATTACACCATTCCCCCAACACGAATATATTTTATTTTTTTCTTTTCATTTCCTTTCTAAGTCTTTGCATCTCTAATGATGGTGTACATTCATATGAAAAATTTGATATTTAGCAGAATTAATACTCAGTTAATACTTAAAGCTATAGATTATAGTTTGATAAGTAAAAATGAGTTATGAATTATGCAGAACTCCATAGAATTTCAATATATGTATCCTCATTTTATTTATGTATCTGCTATATATATGTATATTTATATTCAGTCCTCCCTTGGTATCTTTAAGGGATTGGTTCTAGCACCCCCATAATACCAAAATCCTTAGACGCTCAAGTCCCTTATATAAAATGATACATAGTATTTACATATAGTCTACACACCTTCTCCTGTATATTTTAAATTATTTCTAGATTACTTATAATACCTAATACAATGTAAATGCTATGTAAATAGTCATTATACTGTATTATATATATTTGTATTACTTTTTATTGTAGTATTGTTATTTGTATTGGGCTTTTAAAATATTTTTGATCCTCAGTTGCTTGAAATCAAGAATGTGGAACCCGTGGATACAAGGTGCCGACTGCTTATACATATATGTATGTATTCAAATAATGAAATTCATTCCTAAAGCATGAATATTTTAGGGAAAAAAATGAGGTAGCAGACGATATCTTATTGATCCTAGGGATTTATTATTTTATTTTTTCTTCTTGCACCAGTGTTTCCTGGCCTACACTAATCTAAGTAACCAAAACTACATTTTATGTTGTGAGGTTGTGTGGTCAGAAATTGAGCCCAAGAACTAATTAAGGTGGAGGTAGATTCAACTCCAATGATAGGTAAGCACTCACTAAATGTATTTCTACAGCAAGACACAAAACTAATAATGAACATGATTGTGATACCATATACCTTCATTTCTATTTTGTTTTAATTAAATAATATAAATTCTTTCATAAATAAACATACGGTTGGTCATAGAAACCATCAGGCTAAACCAAAAGATGATGTTTGAATTTGCTCATCATTTTGTTCTTCCCTTAGGACACTAGCTAAAATCTCATCCATGGTTAAAGCACAGGCATGAGTCTCAAAATGTTCTTGGTATTGCCAGAAATCCACTGAGCTGGTTGTGCTTGTCCAGTGAAGCTCCAAATGCTCTTTTTTTTTTTTTTTTTTTTTTTTTTGAGACAGAGTTTCACTCTTTTTGCCCAGGCTGGAGTGAAATGGTGTGTGATCTTGGCTCACAGCGACCTCTGCCTCCTAGGTTCAAGCAATTCTCCTGCCTCAGCCTCCCGAGTAGCTGGGATTACAGGCATGTGCCACCATACCCAGCTAATTTTGTATTTATAGTACAGACAGGGTTTCTCCATGTTGGTCAGGCTGGTCTCGAACTCCCAACCTCAGGTGATCAGCCCATCTCAGCCTCCCAAAGTGCTGGGATTACAGGCCTGAGCCACTGCACCCGGCCCCTGAATGCTCTCTTTTAATTAATCATTGTAAATACATATGGATCTGTGTGTTCCTAAAAGGGTAATGACATGCCATACTGGCCACATCAAGCATGTTTACAAAGTATAGGCTAGTAACTCATATCTATTTTACCAAAACATCTCTAAAAACTGCTCTCCTGTCTTAATCATATTTTGATCTTGACTTTTTTTGTAACTTTTCTGTTAGAATTATCTATTCACACCTTGGCTCAGTATGTGCTTTTTGTTGTTAATAATTTCATGTGTATAGCTTTTTAGAAACTTTTACTGAAAGTCTGTATTTGCGTGGAAATGAAACCAATTAAGAAATACAAATGACATTTCTTTCCAGCTTGTCAGAAACTGTGAGAGAGAAATTAATGACAAAAGTTTATTGCTGTGTCTTCTTTTCAGTATGCTTCCTTCAAACTTCATGGCAGTAAATGCCAAATAACCTCATGTATCAAACTTAAAGCAAGCTGTGAGCCAGGTGTCTTCAACTGCAGGTCATATGCTGAGCTACATTCATCATTTTAATCTTTTGAATTAAATTCTCTAAAATTGAATAAACCTCAGTGAGACTGTGGTTGCTAAGAAATTCTTTAATTCTCTGACTCCTGAATTCTGTAATAACTTCTGCCTAGAATAAAAATGGAGAAAGAATAAGGTGCAGGTTTTGGCCCATAGAAAGCAAACAATACATGTTTTGAGTTAATTTAGTGTTAGCAACTTGAGAGCAGGGACCAGAGCCATTCTTTTACACAAAACACAAAAATTTAGTTCAATTTTTGTATATTTCATTGCTATGTATCCTGCTGTCATTCAGTGAAATTCTGCTTGTATTTATATGCTAAAAATTGTTGGGGAAAATTACTCCTTTTGGTAGTAATCAAAACCAATTCAATGTGCACTATGGTATAATGTTTAAGTGGAAAGTAGTAATCTCAATAATTTCTCTGAAAATCAACTCCAAGTTTCAAGCAGCCAAGGATGAATGATGGCTGCACTCCATATATTAATCAAAATAATCATTAAAGAAAATAAAGAACATATATTTAAAAGATTCCATCATATTGACAGAACAAGCATTTACAGCACTTAGCAGAATATGTAGTTCATATATTTTCCCTTAAGTGTTTTTTCTTATGGGTTTTTAATTTTTTAAATTTATTTTGGGGATTTTTAATAGATGATGTATTCAAATGATTTAAAAATTAAAACCATGTAACAAGGTACACACGAAGAAGCCTTTCTTCCAAGCTTGTCACTATTTCTTCCATATATCCTTCCTTTCATGCGCGTCCCTGTGAAGAGACCACCAAACAGGCTTTGTGTGAGCAACATGGCTGTTTATTTCACCTGGGTGCAGGCGGGCTCAGTCCTAAAAGAGAGTCAGTGAAGGGAGATAAGGGTGGGGCCGTTTGATAGGATTTGGGTAGGTAAAGGAAAATTACAGTCAAAGGGGGTTTGTTCTCTGGCGGGTAGGAGTGGGGGTCGCAAGGTGCTCAGTGGGGGTGCTTTTTGAGCCAGGATGAGCCAGGAAAAGGACTTTCACAAGGTAATGTCATCACTTAAGGCAAGGACCGGCCATTTACACTTCTGTTGTGGTGGAATGTCATCAGTTAAGGTGGGGCAGGGCATATTCACTTCTTTTGTGATTCTTCAGTTACTTCCGGCCATCTGGTCGTATCCGTGCAAGTCACAGGGGATGCGATGGCTTGGCTTGGGCTCAGAGGCCTGACATTCCTGCCTTCTTAATAAGAAAAATAAAACAAAATAGTGTTGAAGTGTTGGGACGGTGAAAATTTTTGGGGGGGTGGTATGGAGAGAGAATGGACGATGTTTCTCAGGGCTGCTTCAAGCGGGATCAGGGGCAGTGTGGGAACCTAGAGTGGGAGAGATTAAGCTGAAGGAAGATTTGTGGTAAGGGGTGATATTGTTGGGTTGTTAGAAGAAACATTTGTTGTATAGAATGATTGGTGATGGCCTGGATACGGTTTTGTATGAACTGAAAAACTAAATGGAATAAGAAGGAGAAAAACAGGTATAAAAGGTCTAAGAATTGGGAGGACCTAGGACATCTGATTAGAGAGTGCCTAAGGAGATTCAGCATAGTCCTGCCAGCAAAGATTATTTATTTACTTCAAGAGTTAAGAGTAGCGGTTTGGGGATAGCACAAGGAGATATCAGCTGTGATGGCTTGGAGAAACAGTGTAAACTGGCAGTGTAAACAAGAGCAGGGCATGTATGAGTAGTTGAGAACGGAGAATAGGAGTATGACTAGACAGAAAATAGTAGGGATGACAAGTTTTTTTTGGGGCACAGTCTAAGTTGGTCTGATGTCTGGAATGAGACTGCGGCCTAATAAAAAGGAGCATCTATACAGGAGCTTAAATGGGCTGTACCTTGTAGCATTCCGAGGACAGGCCTGAATTCTGAGAAGGGAAAGTGATAAAAGTATTGTCCAGTCCTTTTTGGTGGCTGAGCTTGGTGAGGTGTGTTTTTAAAAGACCTTAGTCCATTCTACTTTTCTTGAAGATGGAGGACTGTAAGGGATATAAAGGTTTCACTGAATACTAACAGCCTGAAAAACTGCTTGGCTGATTTGACTAATAAAGGCTTATCTGTTATCAGACTGTATTGAGGTGGGAAGGCTAAACTGAGGAATTATGTCTGACAGAACGGAAGAAATGACTGCGGAGGCCTTCTCAGACCCTGTAGGAAAGGCCTTTACTTATTCAGTGAAAGTGTCTATTTAGACTAAGAGGTATTTTAGTTTCCTGACTCGGGCATGTTGAGTAAAGCTAATTTGCCAGTCCTGGGTGGGGGCAAATCCTTGAGCTTGATGTGTAGGGAAGGGAGGGGGCCTGAATAATCCCTGAGGAGTAGTAGAATAGCAGATGGAACACTGGGAAGTTATTTCCTTGAGGATAGATTTCCATGATGGAAAGGAAATGAGAGGTTCTGAGAGGCGGGCTAGTGGCTTGTACTATAGCATAGCCTGCCTTTGCTGGTATGTGGCGATTAGGCCTGGTGGAACTGCCATCAATAAATCAAGTGTGATCAGGGTGAGGAACAGGAAAGAAGGAAATATGGGGAAATGGGGTGAATATCAGGTGGATCAGAGAGATACAATCGTGGGGGTCAGGTGTGGTATCAGGAATAATGTGGGAGGCCAGATTGAAGTCCCGGCCAGGAACAACGGTAATTGTGGGACTTAAGAAAGAGTGAGTACAGCTGAAGGAGCCGGGGAGCAGAAAGTATATGCGTCAGGTATGAGGAAGAAAATAGATTTTGGAAGTTATGAGAAATGTAGAGAGTGAGTTGAGCGTAGTTTGTGATTTTTAGGGCCTCTAAAAGTATTAAAGCAGCGGCAGCCTCTGTACGCAGACCTGAGGGCTAGGCTAAAACAGTAAGGTCAAGTTGTTTGGACAGAAAGGCTACAGGGTTCAGTCCTGGCTCTTGTTTAAGAATTCTGACCGCACGAACCATGCCTAGGAAGGAAAGGAGTTGTTGTTTTGTAAGGGATTGAGGTTTGGGAGATTAATCGGACACGATCAGCAGGGAAAGCATGTGTGTTTTTAGGAGAATTATGCCGAAATAGGTAACAGATGAGGATGAAATTTGGGCTTGACTGAAGTAATGGGGGCTGTCTGTGAAGCCTTGTGGCAGTACAGCCCAGGTAATTTGCTGAGCCTAATCGGTGTCAGGGTCAATCCAAGTGAAAGCGAAAACAGGTTGGGATGAAGGGTGCAAAGGAATAGTAAAGAAAGCATGTTTGAGATCTAGAACAGAATAATGGGTAGTAGAGGGAGGTATTGAGGATAGGAGAGTATATGGGTTTGGCACCATGGGGTGGATAGGCAAAACAATTTGGTTGATAAAGCGCAGATTCTGAACTAACTTGTAAGGCTTGTCTGGTTTTAGGACAGGTAAAATGGGGAAATGGTAAGGAGAGTTTATAGGCTTTAAAAGGCCATGCTGTAGCAGGCTAGTGTTAACAGGCTTTAATCCTTTCAAAGCGTGCTGTGGGATGGGATATTGCCGTTGAGCGGGGTAAGGGTGATTAGGTTTTAATGGGATGGTAATGGGCATGTGATCAGTTGCCAGGGAAGGAGTAGAGATGTCCTATACTTGTGGGTTAAGGTGGGGGGATATGAGAGGAAGACTCGAAGGAGGCTTTGGGTTGGGGAGAAGGGCGGCAATGAGATGTGGCTGTAGTCCAGGAAGAGTCAGGGAAGCAGATAATTTGGTTAAAATATCTCGGCCTAATAAGGGAACTGGGCAGGTGGAGATAACTAAAAAAGAGTGCATAAAAGCGTGTTGTCTAAGTTGGCACCAGAGTGGGGGGAGTTTTAAGAGGTTTAGAAGCCTGGCTGTCAATACCCACAACAGTTATGGAGGCAAGGGAAACAGACCCTTGAAAAGAAGGTAATGTGGAGTGGGTAGCCTCCGTATTGATTAAGAAGGGGACGGGCTTACCCTCCACTGTGAGTTACCTAAAGCTCGGCGTCCGTGATGGTCTACGGGGCTTCTGAGGCGATCGGGCAGCATCAGTCTTCAGCCGGTAAGCCAAGAAGGAGTCAGTCAGAGAGCCCTGGGCCAGAGTTCCAGGAGCTCTGGGAGTGGCTGCCAGGTGAGTTGAACAGTCCGATTTTCAGTGGGGTCCCACACAGATGGGACGTGGCTTAGGAGGAATCCTGGGCTGCGGGCGTTCCTTGGCCCAGTGGCCAGATTTCCGGCATGTGTAACAAGTTCCTGGGGGAGAAGGTTCTGGAGGAACGCCTGGCTGCTACAGTTCAGGCGTTTGGAAGTTCTTGTGTGCTGGAGATGTGGCTGGGGTTTGTCTCACAGTGGTGGCAAGGAATTGCAACTTTTTTCTGTTATTGCACACCTTGAAGGTGAGGTTAATTAAGTCCTGTTGTGGGGTTTGAGGGCCAGATTCCAGTTTTTGGAGTTTTATTTAATGTCGGGAGCAGATTGGGTAATAAAATGTATATTGAGAATAAGACGGCCTTTAGACCTTTTAGGGCCTAGGGCTGTAAAGTGTCTCAGGGTTGCTGCCAAACAAGTCATGAACTGGGCTGGATTTTTATATTTGATGAAAAAGAGCCTAAACACTATCTGATTTGGGATAAAGAAAAAGGAGCATTAACCTTGACTATGCCTTTAGCTCCAGCCACCTTTTTAAGAATAAATTGCTGGGCAGGTGGGGGAGTGCTAGTCACGGAATGAAACTGTAAGCCGGAACAGGTGTGAGGAGGGGAGGCGATAAAAAGATTATAGGGTGGAGGAGTGGAGGCTGAGGAAGAATTGGGACCTAGCTCAGCCTGTCGAGGAGGGGAGAGGTCAGATGGGTCTGTAGAAAAGGAAGATTAGAAAGACTCAGCGACACTTGGGGTTGGTACTGAGGGGACAGGCGGGAGGGAAAGAAAGAAGATTTGGGAGGAGTTGCACTGGGCACAGAGACTAGGAGGGGACTGATGTGTAAAAGAATGCCTGGACGTCAGGCACCTCAGACCATTTGCCCATTTTACAACAAGAATTATTTAGATCTTGCAGGATGGAAAAATTGAAAGTGCCGTTTTCTGGCTATTTGGAACTACTGTCGAGTTTGTATTGGGGTCAAGCGGCATTGCAGAAGAAAATAAGACGCTTAGATTTTAGGTCAGGTGAGAATTGAAGAGGTTTTAAGTTCTTAAGAATACAGGCTAAGGGAGAAGAAGGAGGAATGGAAGGTGGAAGCATAGTGAAGGAGGCAAGCCCAGAGAAAAGAGTAGAGACATGGAGAAGGGGTGGGGTTTTCTTCCCCTCCAGAAAAGCAGAGAAAGAGTTGGGGCACGGAAATAAGGGATTGGGGTGCAGAGATAAGAGATTGGGGCGTGGAAATAAGGGATTGGGGCACAGAGATAAGAGGTTGGGGCGTGGAAATAAGCGATTGGGGGGTTCTTGCCCCCTAGGAAAGCGGGACTTGCCACTAAGGGTGAAGGAGAAGGGGTTGAGGGGTACTTGCCCCTGCCCCAGGAAAGCGAGACTTGCCACCAAGGGTGAAGGACCAAGTCAGGCATCCCTGCGTGGTCTGACATCCTTGAAACGTGAGTGTATAATCAGAGAGGTGTCCCTGAAATGATTAAACACCAAGGGAAGGCTGCCTTCCCAGTCCGTGACCGGCACCGGAGTTTTGGGTTCACGGATAAAACATGTCTCTTTTGTCTCTACCAGAAAATGAAAGGAATTGAAATTAAGAGAAGGGAGAGATTGAAGTGTGGTTCCAAGATTGAAAGGAGAAAGAGGTTGAGGGATAATGAGGGAGGTTGGAGAAGAGAGTAAAAATAGGCCTCTTACCGGATTTGAAATTGGTGAGATGTTTCTTGGGCTGGTCGGTCTGAGGACCTGAGGTCCTAGGTGGATCTTACGGAGCAAAAAGCAGGAGGACAGGGGATTGATCTCCCAAGGGAGGTCCCTCGATCTGAGTCACGGCACCAAATTTCATGCGCGTCCGTGTGAAGAGACCACCAAACAGGCTTTGTGTGAGCAACATGGCTGTTTATTTCACCTGGGTGCAGGCGGGCTGAGTCGGAAAAGAGAGTCAGCGAAGGGAGATAGGGGTGGGGCCGTTTTATAAGATTTGGGTAGGTAAAGGAAAATTACAGTCAAAGGGGGTTTGTTCTCTGGCGGGTAGGAGTGGGGGTCGCAAGGTGCTCAGTGGGCAGGAGTGGGGGTCGCAAGGTGCTCAGTGGGGGTGCTTTTTGAGCCAGGATGAGCCAGGAAAAGGACTTTCACAAGGTAATGTCATCAGTTAAGGCAAGGACCGGCCATTTACACTTCTTTTGTGGTGGAATGTCATCAGTTAAGGTGGGGCAGGGCATATTCACTTCTTTTGTGATTCTTTAGTTAGTTCAGGCCATCCGGGCATATAGTGCAGGTCACAGGGGATGCGATGGCTTGGCTTGGGCTCAGAGGCCTGACACTTCCCTCTACAGTTAATCATTCTTATTAGTTTCTCAAATATGTTTCCAGAGTTTCTGTATGTAGATATAAACAAATATTTGTAGGTTATCTCATAGCTGTTATAAACAGTCCCTTATACATGGATATTGGGACTTATTTTCAACTTTAAAATGATAAAATGGTAAACAGTGCTGTAATGAAAAATCTTTCACACATATCATTTATCCATATTTCTAGAAATGGGATTGTTGAATCAGATTAACGTTAGAATCAATTTATCTAGCTCTAAAAATGTTGCTGTTCTTGTTGGAATCACACTAATTTTGATGTTAACTTAGAGAGAATCATCAGCTTTATGATGCTGAATCCTTCTACCCAAGATTACATCATGTCTTTTATTCCATCCTAGATTTTTGTCCTAAATTATGTTAAATATTTTTCTTATGACTATTGAACAATTCTGGCTATGTTTACTCAGACATTTTGTTCTTTTTCATTGTTGTTTCTGTATGTTCTTGCCATCTTAGCAAAGTAATTATTGCAAATTTTTAAAATATGTGAATATGGAGCAAAATTGGAAGTAACACAGTATATATTTTTATCAATTTTGTGCAACTCCAGACACTTTGTGTTAATCTTTAATAAATATTTTACTAAGTTTTTGATATCTACTATTTGATTTGGCATTCCTCAAATACCTGTTGATTAAAATATTATAAAAACTTCCTACTGGGAAAAATTTTTAAAAGCCATATTATCATTTATTGGGTTATCTTTTTTAAATAATTCAAATACTGAATTAAGTCTATAGTTAACAAGATATCACTTACATTTTCTAAGACACTCTCTTGGATTTAGCTGTGTGGCACTATTAACCAAAAATAAATTCTAAGGCCATCCAATCATCAAATGGACCCCTCCTCTTGGCCAAGGGCATTCCACAGTTAACCTGAAAAACCAGTTCAGGACATGACAGAAGAGGGGAAGGCACATGCCTCACTATACATCCCACCAGCATTAGCATCAACACAGATCTTAAATCTGATAAGAAACATTTACAATCTATTCTCTCAGAAGCCTATTACTTGGAGGCCTCCTCTGCATGATAAAATCGAGGTCTCCACCACCCCTTAACTTAATCCAAACATTCCTTTCTATTGATAACTCTCTTTCAGCCAATTGCCAGTCAGAACATTTTTAAATCCATCTATGACCTGGAAGCCACCCCTCAATCCCCCTCCTCAATCCCTTCATCACTTTGAGTTAGTCTGCCCTTCCAGATGGAACCAATGTAAATCTTACATGTGTTGATTGACGTGTGATGTCTCCTCAAAATATGTAAAAACAAGCTGTACCCTGACCACCCTGGGCATATTTTCAGGGCCTCTTGAGGCTGTGTCATGGGCATGTCCTTAACCTTGGCAAAATAAACATTCTAAACTGATTGAGACCTGTTTCAGATACTTTTGAGTTAACATTTTGAGAGCTGTCTTAGGTACTTTTGGGTTCAAAACACCCTTGGATGTTAATGGAATCCATTGTCCAAATCACCAAGAGGCTGGGTGTGGTGGCTCACGCCTGTAATCCCAGTACTTTGGGAGGCAGAGGCGGGCTGATCACCTGAAGTCGGGAGTTCTAGACCAGCCTGACCAACATGGAGAAACCCCGTCTCTACTAAAAATACAAAATTAGCAGGGCATGGTTGGCACATGCCTGTAATCCCTGCTACTCGGGAGGCTGAGGCAGGAGAATCGCTTGAACTCAAAGCCCCCACTTTGAATTGTCCCACGTTTCTGAACCAAAACAATGTATTTCTTAAATGTATTTGATTGATGTCTCATACTTCCCTAAAATATATAAAACCGAGCTGTACCCCAACCACCTTGGGCACATGTTCTCAGGACTTCCTGAGGGCTATGTCATGGGCCATGGTCACTCATATTTGGCTCAGAATAAATCTCTTAAAATACTTTACAGAATTTGACTCTTTTCATCGACAATATGCCAATATGTATAGGAAATCACTAGTCAAATTAATTTATCAGTGCTATTTGATAGTTTGTGAAATATCTTTGTATATAAACAATATGAACTGATAAAGAAAAAATATAGTTCTGATATAAAGAAGCAGAGCTCTTTGACAAGCTGAGTGAAGATAATTTAATCATGAAGGATCCTTGGATATTATTTAGTTTTTAGACATCATGTAGTCCAAGATCTGTTCTGAAAACATACCTGGTTCAAAATGCAGATTTCCTCAAAATGTCTACATCAGTTTAAAATGAAATATATAACAATGTTCATTGGTTTCTTCTTCTTTATGTCATTAAGGTGCTTCAATAGCAATAGACTGGCAAGTGCATTCAGCCACCTTGGACTTGTGATTCACTCAGGAGAATTTAACACTGTGATTAAAAAAAGTAAAAGGGATTTAGTATTTCTAAGGCTGACTGCCTTGGCAAGACACTGTACTTCAAATCAGCGTGCATCCATTTTGAATATTAAGTAAGACAGTGAAATAAATTTTTGGTAGAGGCTTAGAAAAATATAAAACACTGTCATTCTGAGGTTAGTTTTCGGCTGCATTGATTTTTGTCTTTTATACCTCAATATGATTAAAAAAAAAAGCTTTCCCTAAATCTGTCAATATAATGTTTCACCATTATGGTACACATATAATATAATGCAGACTACTCTGTTTTCCACTCTGACCTTTACTACATGGCTGGTTTTTGATAGAAGAATGTGGGAGGAAATACTTTTTAAATAGAATTCCAATAATGCATCCGTAAACATAACCTCTCATCCTTTGAAATACGAAGTGTTAACCTTGCTATAGGATATATTATTCCTTTTCATTTTGATAAGCCGTAAGAGGTAGGGACATAGAATTAAAATGCATAGATAACTATGGTCAGGATTACCTAATATTAACCTAAATTATGTCCTGTTAAGCATTGAATAATGTTAAGTAAAATGTTCTATTATCATTATAAGTTTTGTAATACTGTAACCGCCCAACGGGTTCACCTTGCCCGCTGCCTAGACAGAGACGATTTATTAAGACCAGGGGGACTGCAATGGAGAAAGAGTAATTCACTCAGAGCCGGCTGTGTGGGAGACTGGAGTTTTATTATTACTCAAATCAGCCTCCCTGAGCATTTGGAGGAATGCTTGGGGACTGGAGTTTTTAAAGATAACTTGGGCCAGGCACGGTGGCTCATGCCTGTAATCCCAGCACTTTGGGAGGCCGAGGCAGGTGGATCACCTGAGACCAGCCTGGCTAACGTGGTGAAACCCTGTCTCTACTAAAAATGCAAAAATTAGCTGGGCGTGGTGGCAGGCGCCTGTAGTCCCAGCTACTCTGGAGGCTGAGGTAGGAGAATTACTGGTTGAGTCCAGGAGACGGAGGTTGCTGTGAGCCGAGATCATGCCACTGCACTCCAGCCTGGGTGACAGAGGGAGATTCCATCTCAAAAAAAAAACATTTAAGATAACTTGGCAGTAGGGGCTTGGGAAGTGGGAAGTACTGATTGTTCGGATTGAAGATGGAATCATAGAGGGGTCGAAGTGAGGTTTTCTTGTTGTCTTCTGTTCCTGGGTGGGATCACAGAACTGGTTGAGCCAGGTCTGGGTGGTATCAGCTAATCCATCAAGTGCAGGGTTTGCAAAATATCTCAAGCACTGATCTTAGGTTTTAAAATAGTGATGTTATCTCCAGGATCAATTTGGTGAGGTTCAGACTCTTGCATCCAGAAGCTGCATGACCCCTAAACGTAATTCCTACTCTTGTAGCTAGTTTGTTAGTCCTACAAAGGCAGACTGGGCCCAAAGCAAGAAGGGAGTCTTTTTGGGAAAGGGCTATAATTTCATTTCAGAGTCAAACCATAAACTAAATTCCTTCCCAAGGTTAGTTTGGCCTATGCCTAGGAATGAACAAGGACAGCTTAAAGGTTAGAAGCAAGATGGAGTTGATTAGGTCTAATCTCTTTCACTATCATAATATCCTCAGTTATAATTTTTGCAAAGATAGTTTCAAGACTAGGAAGTTATTTTTTGAAGATATAGTTATTGAATAAAACACTGTATAATTTAGCTATTGACCGATGGAGCTGCATTTTTTCTCAGCAGTTAATCTTTTCTTTAAGTTACTTCATAATTGAAATAGCTACTTTTATAGATTGATTAGTCCCTAAATATAAATCAATCATATATTTAAAAGGATTTTTATTTTAAACTTATCCTTGAAAGATTGTGAATAAAACAAATTAGAAGGTCTACGAAAGTTCCAGCTTATTGAAAATGAGATTTGTATTGTATAGACTAAGTAATTCAATTGGAATACATAAATCTTAGGCTCTTACAAAGAAAGAGAAAAATAAAATCTTAGACTAAGATTTCACAGTACCAATGCCAATATAGACAAGATACCTAAACAAATCAAAGAAAAAGTTTTGAATTTCAGTAGACACTGTCAACCGAGGAAAATGACAAGCCTCAATCATTTTAGGAGATTTATTTGCCAAAATTAAGGATGCACCCGGGAGACAGGTCTACGCCTTTCTCCAAAGATGATTTTGAGGGCTCCAAATTTAAAGGGGAAAGGGTGGGATATTGAGAAGCACACAGTTTTTACATAAACAAGGGGGGGGCAGAGGAAAAATGTGAAGAATCTGCATTTTACATAACAGACAAAATGGGGAAGGGGAACAATCAGCTATGCATTTTTGTCTGGCAGGCTGGGTGACTGCACCTGTAAAGATAAGCTATCAATTTGCATGGCCATGGAGAAGTTTTTAACAGCTGGCCAGGAATTTCCTTGTGGGCAAAATATGGGGGAGGCGGGTAGCCTTTCATCTGGTAGCCATCTCATCGAGGAACCAAAAGGGGGAGGCAGGTTTGTGTGACTCAGTTCCCAGCTTGACTTTTCCCTTTGGATAAATGAGTTTGGGGTCCAAAAATTTAATTTCTTTTCACAGCACACCATATTCTTGATAGCTCCAAATATCCCTTTCTGGCTCTCTTTTTTTTTCTTAGAGGAACCAGGACATGCTGATAACCTTTCTTAAGTTATGTTAATATGTAAATGCAGTCAACATCTGGGGTATTCTAGGCCTTTGGTAGCTCCACAAACAGCAAATATTTTCACCTGGACAGACCTTCTAAATACTTGGCAAAGGAAAGATTATTATGAGCCTTATTTAGTTTAGTCTGCAGCAGTGATATTTTATTACCAGCATTCTCTGTAGGTTTGGAGAATATGAAAGTAAGCTCTGTATTAGCCTTAAACTTTCTGAGCTGGATTTGAATCACCTAACGCTAAAAAAAAAAAAAAAAAAAAAAAAAAAAAAAATCAGCGTCAACTACTTTCTAAGCATATGTTTTCGCAATACAGATGAGGTTTTATCAGTAGTTTTTTACAAGTCTGTCTAGAAACTTCATATTCTACTCAGTGCTTCTAGTTATTAATGAGAAATGAATTTTTTCATGAAAATGTAGTTGCCCCTCTATTAGAAACTGTTCATATGAGCTGTATCTACTCATCTTAAATAAAAATGTAATGCTACTCGAAGAAAATAAATTTCCTCAAATTAATATTTCATTTTTTTTTAATTTTAAGGTAGAATGTAAGAAGAAAAATGTATAGGAAATTTTAAAAAAACAGCATTTATTTATCCAGTTTCCTTTAGTCACAACATTACTAAGTTGAAAGAGCCGTAGAAGATATAGTCCAATGTCATCATTTTACAAAAGTGAAAATTGAAATTCTGAAATATAAAATAGTTTCCCAAGTCACATAGTTAGTGACAGAACTGAGGCTATTTCACAACCCCACTCTAATTCTCATTTTTCATTTATTTATTTATTTATTTATCTGAGACAGAGTCTCACTCTGTCGCCCAGGCTGGAGTGCAGTGGCCGATCTCGGCTCACTGCAAACTCCACCTCCCAGGTTCACGCCATTCTCCTGCCTCAGCCTCCCGAGTAGCTGGGACTACAGGCGCCCGCCACCTCGCCCGGCTAATTTTTTTGTATTTTTAGTAGAGACGGGGTTTCACCTTGTTAGCCAGGATGGTCTCGATTCCCTGACCTCGTGATCCACCCGCCTCGGCCTCCCAAAGTGCTAGGATTACAGGTGTGAGCCACTGCGCCCAGCCTCTAATGCTCATTTTTCTAAACTGCACTGATTATCACACAACCAGGAATACCAAAAAAAAAAAAAAAAGGTATCAGCTATAAGCTATAACCTTTGCTCTTATGGAGCTTATAATTTCATAAGAGAGAGTATACAAGATGAACAACTGTGTGTGATCAGAACAGGCAAGATAAGACATGCGTTATTTGTGCAGAAGACAGCTACATCATAGCAGGCAGGCTCATAGATTTGAGAGAGGCTTGGCAAACAGTATCTGGGATAGGGTGATGTTCTGGTAAAAAAAAAAAAAAAAAAGTATAGTCATCATAGTGTCCTACTGTTTTAAATTTTTGAAACAAATTCTTTCCCAAAGAATTCCTGAAATGTTTGGTATTTTGATATTTTCTCTTAATGGAAAATGCAAATGAGTTAAACTATTAATGATTTTCATCCTATAATTGCTACCTACTGTCATTTGTGTGGACAATTTCAATAGGCATGTTCACTTTTTAGATAGAGATTTATTATAATGTTTTCTTATGACAATTTGATATCATTGTGTTGTTTACTTATATTCATTTTAAAATTATTCACTTATCTTTTATTCCACCATGATAATCCATTTATAGATTTAATTCATCATGAGGCTCCTAGTAATGAGTTTATGATTAAGAAAATTTTGCTATTAGTTTGTTCAGCCATTTTTCAATTTTTTTTTAAATCATGGCACCTGAGTCCTAATTATAATTAATTGCTAAAGTTGATCATTTGAAGCTTCTTTGAAGAATTACTCAAGTTGTTTCAGTGTAAATTAACTCTAAAAAAGGCAGTGATTTATATTTTCTATTTTGGGTGCAAGAGATTAACGCCAGTGCTAGATTATATTTAAAACACTTAGTTTATTGATTAACTTCCCTGAAGAACATATGACCTTATTTTTGCTTAAAACTATTTGCAGATCCAAAATATTTGAGGAAGGTCAGTGAGTGTATAGGGGTTAGATTCAGGGGAAGGAACAGTACTTCTACTTTAACCATAATACCTACCTTTTTATCTATTTTTTTTTTTTTGCCTCAAAAAGTGACATTTATTCAAAGAAAAAAAATGACAAGATGTCTATCCCTTGGCTCCCTTCCTTCCCCTCTCCTGCTGCTCCTCAGCCCCCCGAGATTGAGCCCTGGCTGGGGCTGGGTGGCAGGACAGCCCCTCAGATGAGGTCAGCAACATTGGGGGCATTTCCTCAATGGAGGTGTTGTAGAAGGTCTCAATGTCTCGAAGAGTCCTCTTGTCTTCTTCTGTCACCATGTTAATAGCCACATCTTTACGGCCAAACTGTCCACCTCGACTGATTCTGTGGATATAGTTTTCCCTGTTGGTGGGAAGGTCATAGTTGATGACTAAAGAAACCTGCTGCACATCAATGCCTCTGGCCAGCAGGTCAGTGGTAATCAAAACTCTGCTAGAGCCAGAACGAAACTCCCTCGTGATCACGTCTCGCTCCTTTTGGTCCATATCTCCATGCATGGCGGAGACAGTGAAATCTCGAGCATGCATCTTCTCGGTGAGCCAGTCCACCTTCCTCCGGGTATTGATGAAGATGACTGCCTGGGTGATGGTCAGGGTTTCATACAAGTCACATAGTGTGTCCAGCTTCCACTCCTCTCGTTCCACGTTGATGTAGAATTGGCGGATACCCTCCAGGGTCAACTCTTCCTTCTTGACAAGAATCCGAATGGGGTCCCTCATGAACTTCTTGATCACCTCAAGCACATCAGAAGGCATTGTAGCTGACAGCAAAACTACCTGGGTGTTGCTGTTGAGCTTTTGGAATATGTCATAGATCTGGTCCTTGAATCCACGGCTTAACATTTCGTCAGCTTCATCCAGTACAAACATCTTGATGTATTTGGGAGATAGGTATCTCCGGTTAAGCATATCAAACACACAGCTAGGGGTACCCACGATGATGTGGGGAGCTTCCATCTGCAGTTTCTGCACCTCAGCACGCACATTGGTGCCCCTGATACAGGCATGACAGGAGGCACCCATGTAGTCTACTAGTGCCATGACCACCTTCTGTATCTGCTGAGCCAATTCTCGAGTGGGTGCTAGGACCAAGGCCTGGGTGGCTTTTAGATCTAATGCAATCTGCTGCAGAATCGATATGGCAAATGTGGCCATTTTCCCAGTCCCAGATCAGGCTTGAGCGATTACATTATAACCCCTGATACAAGGTAGAATGGCTTGCTGCTGGATGGCAGAGGGCTTCTCAAAACCATAGGCATAGATGTCACGGAGAAGGGACTCCGAGAGGTTCATGTCATCAAAGCTGTCAACAATCTCATTCCAGTTACTCTCGATGACGCCTTCGGGCTCCATCCCATCGGGGCCATTGTCTCTGGATCAGGAATCCTGGCTTACAGACATGATCCTGAGAAACTAGCCTTTTTATCTATTTTCTATATTGTGGCTTTGATTCTGTTGAATTTCCATTAAAAAGGTGGAGAGGTGTATTACAAATTGTAAACTTTTCTAACTTTTAAAAATCACTTTCCTAAAGGCAAAGATCAAAGTCTTTCAAGGTTCTTTATATCCCAATTGTAGTTTCTGCTGCTTCTTCCTTTACACAAACACTTTGTCTCATCCAAACTTATTTTCTGAACATTGTCTAAACATACCTGTGGTTTCCTTGCTCCCTGCCTTGCATAAACTTGCAGCTTCCATCTTGGAAACTCTCCTCTCCTACCCTGCACCCCTACTGGATCAAAAGAATGTCACCTGTCCTTTCCATTTATTTATTTATTTATTTATTTTTGAGACGGAGTCTTGCTCTGTCGTCCAGGCTGGAGTGCAATGGCGCGAACTCGGCTCACTGCAACCTCTGCCTCCTGGGTTCAAGCGATTCTCCTGTCTCAGCCTCCCCGAGTAGCTGGGATTACAGGCCCCCACTACCATGCCCGGCTGGGGTTTTGCCATTTTGGTCAGGCTGGTCTCAAATTCCTGACCTCAGGTGATCCGCCCTCCTCAGCCTCCCAAAGTGTTGGGATTACAGGCATGAGACACTGTGCCCAGTCCCTTTCCATTTTTGAAGTTAAACTCTCCCCATGAAGTCTTCTAATTCATGACAACTGGAACTGACCTCTCTATCCATTGATCTCCAATACCAATTATCATTTATTCTTACCACTACTTTATATTGCAGTTATCTATGTAGACTAGATCAACATGACTGTATTTGGGCATTCAATAAATATGTGTTAAATGAAACACATATTTATTGTGAGGTACTCATAGACCACAAGTTTTGCAGAGTAATAAAGTTTAATTTTATTCTTCTAGTTTCAAGCAGAAAGAAAATAATGAAAAAATATGTATTTAACTAGAAGGAGACTGTACTAGTCAGGGTTTTCTAGAGGGACAGAACTAATAGTATATATGTATATATTAAAGGGAGTTTATTAAGGAGAACTGACTCACAGGATCACAAGATGAAGTCCCACGATAGACTGTCTGCAAGCTGAAGAGCTAGGAAGCCAGTAGTGGCTCATTCCGAGTCCCAAAACCTCGAAAGTAGGGAAGCCAACAGTTTAGCCTTCAGTCTGTGGCTGAAGGCCTGAGAGCCCCTAGCAAACCACTGGTGTAAATCCAAGAGTCCAAAAACTGAAGAACCTGGAGTCTGATGTTCGAGGACAGGGAGCATCCAGAGGAAGACTCAGCATGTCGGCTTATCCCACCTTCTTCTGACTGCCTTTTCTAGCTGCGCTGGCAGGTGATTGGATGATGCCCACCCAGACTGAGGGTGAGTTGGCCTTTCCCAGTTCACTGACTCGAATGTTAATCTCCTCTGGCAACACCCTCACAGACACACCCAGAAACAATACTTTGCATCCTGCAATCCAAACAAATTGACACTTAATATTAACCATCACAGATTTCTACTACTAAGTCTCTCTCATGTAACATAGCTTCAGTGGAATTATATTCTCAGATCCATAGTTTCTCTGAGCGATAGTTGCCCATAATTTAAAATGTAAAATGTATACTCTGCAGCAGCATGTTTGTAAGGCGTGTAAATGTGAGTGTTTTAGTTAGCTCAACACTTAGCTTTTAATGCTTAGAATGACATACTTGAAATATATTTTTAATTTTTCTTGAGACTTTGACCAGAACTGGGGTTAATCCATTCAGACATTATTTTGGTATTCATAGATCATCTTGAAGGTATGTTTTATTAAATAGCCTATAATATTTATTTAATTCAAAACTGATTTCTAACTTTTAAAATTTACTCATGGTGGCACATTAAGTTATTGAGCTCAACAGAGAATCAAGGAACAAAGAGTAACAGCTCTTTCTACCATCTTCTTAGATTTTCAGATTGATCCAATACAACTTTTAATAGCGTTGGAGGCCAAAACTAATATTAATACATTAGCATTAATGCAGGTGTAGACAGATGTAGAAAGCTCCAAGAAAATTAAATTCTTAGATAATCTTTCTGGCTGTTTTCTTATTTTAGCAAATGTATTTTTATTTTATTTATTGATTTATTTATCTATTATTATTTTTTGAGACAGGGTCTCCCTCTGTTGCCCAGGCTGGAGTGCAGAGGCACAATCACAGCTCATCGTAACTCCCCCTCCTAGGCTCAAGCGATCCTCACTCCTCAGTCTCTTGAGTAGATGGGACTATAGTCATGTGCCACCATGCTTAGCAAATGTTTTGTATTTTTTTGTAGAAACAGGGTCTCACTATGTTGCCCAGGCTGGTCTTGAACTCCTGGGCTCAAGAAATCCACTATCCTGGACCTCTCATAGTGCTGGGATTACAGACATGAGCCACCGTGCTCAGCCAGCAAATTTATTTTATAATTAAAAAAAATCAATGTTGGGTTAGCAGTGTTATATAGTATGTAGAATACCATCCTGAGGATTAGGAAACCTTGTTAGGAATTAGTTGTGTGTTTTTGGGAAGGCCTCTTTTGCAATATGAACCTGAACATGTTTTTCTATAAAATGAGGGTTCAGAACTTGGGGATTTCTAAGATTTCCTCCAGTTCAATCCTTTTATGTCTTTAAACTTGTAAAGGGTAGGGAAAAAGCCCTCAAACAGTAATACTGTGGTAGGCATGGTGGCTCACGCCTGTAATCCTAGCACTTTGGGAGGCCAAGGCGGGTGGATCACCTGAGGTCAGGAGTTTGAGACCAGGCTGGCCAACATAGCAAAACCCCGTCTCTACCAAAATACAAAAATTAGCCGAGCATGGTGGCGGACACCTATAATCCCAGCTACTCGGGAGGCTGAGGCAGGAGACTCACTTGAACCTGGGGGTGGGGAGGTTCCAGTGAGCGGGGATCGGGCCACTTTACTCCAGCCGGGGTGAAACAACAAAACTCTGTCTCAAAAAAAAAAAAAGTAATACCATATTCACACAAATACTCTCTTTGTTCTCTTGAAGAACAAATAACAAAGGGATCTGTATATACTAGCGTAAGTGTTTCTTTGAGATTCACTCTCTTATTTCCTCATATAATGCAAGGGAAAGGCCATAGACTAATTTTTTATTAAAGTAAATACAAGTAATTTTTAATCTAGAGGTTTATTTCTATAGCAGTAGAAATTCTTCCACATTAAATACAGGAAGGAAAAAAATGCTTCAGAAGCACATTTGAAGAGAGCTATATTCAATTTCACAGGAAAGATTCAACATCAAGTAACCCCTGGGTCCCTTCAGTGTATTGCTCTAATTTATACATCAAAGTGAGAACAAGCTTGCTGAAACATAAGGCCTGAAGGAACAACTCAATGTTTCTAGCAGAATGTAGTTCAGCAGTTACACAGTCCATGAAATGCTCATTAACAAGCTGAGGCAATATGTACTGAGTATACAGGTTCACCTTTGCATATTAAGGAGCAATGTGTAATAACATTTATGGCTCTTGCTGTTCCATATGCAGAGAACACGGAAATTAGAGCCGGGCTATATAAATGTCAAATGTATTTATGGTCATGCATGCATACTGCTGTTTTAAAACAGTAGTCTTAACGGCCACAAATGTTTCATTCATATGCAGGTAGTTGGCAGCCACCTTTTTTCTTGAGCCACAGATTACTTCTGCTATAGATTTCCATCCTACAACACAGATCTACCACCAACAGTTTTATGAAGCCATATGCCCTTCAGAAACACTGCAGTTTTGGTTTTCCCTTCATAATAATGTACATTATCTTAATGTTTCATAAAAATATTTCATTTAAAGGCAGCAAAGTAAGACATCAGGAAAAAAAGATGCAACTAACATGTAACTAAACGAGACCCTAAGCCCCAGAATTAAAATATGGTTTTCTGCTGTACTAGCAGCATGAGATCTCTTCACCATAAAATCTCCAAGCTCACAAGAAGGGAAGAGGGTGGAATATATATATATGTATTGACTCATTCCAAAGCATTCTTAAAGACCTTAAAACCAGAAAACAATGAAATTAACATGTCAGCTTTCCCCTCCACTTCTAGGAAGTCTTGTCTGACTGGCTTACCCTCACAGCCCTCCCTCACATATGCTTTAGAGTATAAACACGTATCTTTTAAAATTAATAGTTCTATTAGTATTTTTTTTCAGATTTGACTCATTCCAAAATTTATTGCATTTTAATGCAAACTAAGCATGCATATTATTGGTTTGGTTATAATGCAGTCTTTTTTTTTTTTTTTTTTTTTTTTTTTTGAGACGGAGTCTTGCTCTGTCACCTAGGCTGGAGTGCAGTGGTGCAATCTCGGCTCACTGCGAGCTCCGCCTCCCGGGTTCACGCCATTCTCCTGCCTCAGCCTCCCGAGTAGCTGGGACTACAGGCGCCCGCCACCACGCCCAGCTAATTTTTTGTATTTTTAGTAAAGACGGGGTTTCACCGTGTTAGCCAGGATGGTTTCGATCTCCTGACCTCGTGATCCGCCCTCCTCAGCCTCCCAAAGTGCTGGGATTACAGGCGTGAGCCACTGCGCCCGGCCAATATAATGCAGTCTTGAGATAATCTGATAAATTATTTATTTATTTTTAATTTTAATTTTTTAATTAATTTATTTGGTTTTTTTTGAGACAGGGTCTCTCTGTTGCTCAGGCTGGAGTGCTGTGGTGCCATCATGGCTCACTGCAGCCTCCACATCCCAGGCTCAAGCAATTTTCCCACCTCAGCCTCCTGAGTAGCTGGGACTACAGGGATGCACCACCACATCCAGCTAATTTTTTTAATTTTTGGCAGAGATGAGGTCTCATTATGTTGCCCATACTGGTCTCCAACTCCTGGGCTCAAGTGATCCTCCCACCTTGGCCTTCCAAAGTGCTGGGATTGCAGGTGTGAGCCACCACACCTAGCCATTGATTAATTACTTAAAAATCAAAGCAATATGCTATTACAGAACCAGACCTTATAGGCAACAAATTACCCATGTCACATACTTTTTGAAGTACATTATTGGGTATAGATATTCCACATTAACCAAAAGTACTTTATTAGAAAGATAGGAAATTGAAAAAATGGAGATGGAATTTTGGGAGTCCCTAAGCAATTCAATAATTTCTCAAAACAAACTTATTAGTAATAAAACCTACAGTTTTCCATTATTATTTTCATTATTTTATTATTTCTATTATTTCTAAATAAACTAATTTACATAATGCATGTTTTCAAGCCAAGCTGGACAGCTAGCACATTTCTTACCAAGTAGTGTGTGCTCTTAAATGCATATTGAATAAGACACATTTATGCATTTTCTATTTTTATTTTACACATTTAATTGTTTATCTGTGAGGTAAATCACATTTTAATTTTTTGCAAAATTAAACAAGAGGCTTTTACCCAATAGCATTTTGGTCTACCTGTACTTTTTGAGAGAAGAAATAGCTTTGTAGTCTTGATACATATTGTCAGGTACTTTAACATGATATTTCATAACAGTTTCAAAACACACTGTTAGAATGGAATAAGCTAAAAGGGGACAGGAGTGATATGCCATGATATTTTTCATGTAATACAAAGTCATGCCTATACCATCCATCATATGAACTATGTAGTAAAGTTGATGACTTGTAGAATGGAATGGCACCATTTTCTAACTTTTCTTTCTTTTTTTTTTTTTTTTTTTTTTTGAGACAGAGTCTCTCTCTGTCACCCCGGTTGGAGTGCAGTGGCGTGATCTTGGCTCACTGCAACCTCCGCCTCCTGGGTTCAAGCAGTTCTCTGCCTCAGCCTCCCCAGTATCTGGGATTACAGGCACCTACAACCACGCCCGGCTAATTTTTGTATTTTTAGTAGAGGTGGGGTTTCACCATCTTGGCCAGGCTGGTCTTGAACTCCTGACCTCGTGATCCACCCGCCTCGGCCTCTGAAAGTGCTGGGATTACAGGCGTGCGCCACCGCGCCTGGCCACCATTTTCTAACTTTTCTAAGATGCGAAGGTAAACAAAGAGATAAGTATGGTGAAAATGCAGATTCAAAATAATTAGAAATTCACTTTTGATAAAGTAATTCAAATGCTAATTGTCGAATTCATATTTTACACTTTTGATCATTAGCCTTGTATTTTTATTGTGACATCATAGTGAAAGAGTGATGCCTTTTAGATTCGTGAAGAAAGCAGACCCATACATGGGTGGAAGCTAATGTCTTGGTGCAGAAAACAACATGTCTTTCACAAAGCGACAATTACAACATGACTGCAATAGTAGCTGACAGTACACCTTATTTGAACATGTTTAGTCTTCTCAGGCATAAATGATTTAGACTGAACAAAATTAATAGCATAGGGTTCTCCAAAAACACTTATCTATAGTGTATGCACTATGGATTTTGACATGTTTTAATCATAAAGTCTTTTCTACTAATAATAATTATTTTAGAGGTCTGGCAGATATTCATGTAGTGGCTTCCTTTTTCTGGTTTAGGCAATTATTAAATTATCTGACTATGTTTTATTCTCTTAGTAGTATAAGTATGTAGCTGAGATAAACAAACATATCTATTATTTTTATGAAAATTAATTATGAGTTATGTATTTTTAAATTTTAGTAGCATGATCATTCATTTTAATCATAGCTTCTAAAATTTTTTTTGTTTTGTTTTTTGTCTTTTTTCTTTTTTTTTTGAGACAGAGCCTTGCTCTGTCACCCAGGCTGGAGTGCAGTGGCGTGATCTTGGTTCACTGCAACCTCTGCCTCTTGGGTTCAAGTGAGTCTCCAGCCTCAGCCTCCCAAGTAGCTGGGATTACAGGCATCCGCCACCATGCCCAGCTAATTTTGTATTTTTAGTAGAGATGAGGGTTTCACCAGGTTGGCCAGGCTGGTCTCGAACTCCTGACCTCAGGTGATCCACCCACCTCGGCCTCCCAAAATGCTGGGATTACAGGCGTGAGCCACCATGCCCCAGCCTAAAATTGTTTTTAATCCAATCTGAGAATTAGCCCAGTTACTCCCATTGAGTAATTTAGGTATTTGTAAACATATTATGTTGAGTCACTAGGGTGTCTTGTGCCATCAGTGCACACTTGTCCTCATCTAATATGTGTGTACTCTGTCACACAATGCTTCTCCTATTTCTTGGACCGTATTAGCAATAATTGAATAGTTGAAGCAAAATTGTTTAAATGTAAACAAAGATGATATCAATTTTTTCAATTTTTATTGATTTTACTTTATTTATTTATTTATTTATTTTTTGAGATGGAGTCTCTCTCTGTTGCCAGGCTGGAGTACAGTGGCGCGATCTCGGCTCACTGCAACCTCCACCTTCCGGGTTCAAGTGATTCTCCTGCCTCGGCCTCCCGAGTAGCTGGGACTATAGGCGTGCACCACCATGCCTAGCTAATTTTTGTATTTTTAGTAGAGATGGGGTTTCACCATGTTGAGCAACAGAGCAAGACTCCCTTTCAAAGAAAAAAGAAGCAGTCATTTCTGTTTTTTTTTTTTTTTTTTTTGAAACAGAGTCTCACTCTTGTTGCCGAGGCTGGAGAGCAGTGGCACGATCTCAGCTAACTGCAACCTCCACCTCCTGGGTTCAAGCTTCTCATTCCTCAGCTTCCCGAGTAGCTGGGATTACAGGTGTCTGCCACCACGCCCGGCTAATTTTTGCATTTTTAGTAGAGATGGGGTTTTGGCATGTTGGCCAGGCTGGTCTCGAACTCCTGACCTCAGGTGATCTGCCCACCTCAGCCTCCAAAGTGCTGGAATTACAGGTGTGAGTCACTGTGCCCAGCCGCAGTCACCTCTTGAAAAACCAAATCCAACCACAATGTTAACCACAACATTATTCCTATCCCTGAAATAAATATAATGAAACTATTTGGGAAACAAGGTTTGAAATTATTGAGCCATGAACTGGTTGGTGTTTTCATGACCAGTTTCTAAATTGCTTCTATGATAAGTCTTTAGTTCATAATGTGTGTTTCTTTCTGTCATACTTAACATGCCTATTATATTTATGAAACTTACTAGAAATTCCTCTACAAAGAAAAGAAAAAAATAAAAGAATCAATGGATGTCACATTAAATAGTGGTATAGTAAGAATGAAGGCCAAGTGATATTCTTGAGTACTTAATGTTTACATTTAAGAAAATCGTAATCTGGGCCAGGAGCAGGCAGTGGCTCACACCTGTAATCCCAGCACTTTGGTAGGCCGAGGCGAGTGGATCACCTGAGGTCGGGAGTTTGAGACCTGCCTGGCCAACATGGTGAAACCTTGTCTCTACTAAAATTGCAAAACTTACCTGGGAATGGTGGCGGGCACCTGTAATTCCAGCTACTCGGGAGGCTGAGGCAGGAGAGTTGCTTGAACCTGGGAGGTGGAGGTTCCAGTGAGCTGAGATCATGCCACTGCACTCCAGCCTGAGCGACAGAGCGACACTCCATCTCAATAAATAAATTTAAATAAATACATACATACATAAAGGAAAATCATAATCTGAATGTATTGCCCTCCATCTACCCTTTGCTTTAACCATTTACCCTATGCTTTAACTACGGCAACTATGGTTTCTGGAGCATGAACACTGTCCTGTATCACATTTTGGGGAAAGTTTATTCCTCACCTGAAATTCCTGTCCCAATCCTCACCCACTGCATGTTGGCCTATGTAAACTTTTTCTGTAATGCCAACCAATTTTCTCTACCAAGTTGTCTTTGATTTTCTCCGCCTAGATAAATACTACTTCCCTTCTCTAACTCACCACAGCATGTTCTTATTACTACTTGGTTCATCACAATCTAGTGATTTTTGTATATATTAGAAGACTGTAAGTTTCTTGTGGGCAGTAACCATACAATTTATCATTGTCACACCACCTACTCGACCTGTAAGTGTCGTTTCTCAGAGGTCAGTACTAGGCCACCATCTACTTTTTTTCTAAGACCTTTCTCTTGATGGTATCATATCCTATGGTATTAAATACCATTTCTATGCATATGACTCTCCTTTTCTGCTGCACCAAACCTAGTTCCTTCTTCATCATCTCTATTTCATTAAATGGTACTAATACTGGCCCAGTTTCTCTCCTTATTTCTTCTACTCCAACCTAGATTCAGTCCCTCACCAGACTCTATTTATTCTGCCTCCAAACTCTGTCATACTCATCAACTTCTCTCCATCTTTACTGATATCACACTAAATCAGGCCGTTGGCCATCCACCACACACTCTTGTATCAGTATCCTAGAGTCTCGCAAACTTTCATTCTCACATCTCATCAATCACATTCTTCTCAGAATAGATAGAATGTTATTCAAAACCTAAATAATAATGTCTTCCCAATCCATTTAGAATAAAACTCAAATCTTTACAATGACCTACAATATCCTGCCTGATTTGACTCTTTTCTATGTCATTCCACTTTCCTCCTTGCTTACTATATATTCCAGGCACACTGGTCTCCATTTTTAATTTTTATCAAATAAGGGAAGTGCTGTCTTGCCTCTGTGTCTTTGCCCTTGCTCTGTTTTCTGCCTAGGACACTGCCACACCCACCATACTTCTCATACTTCAAGTTGCAGCTTAAAAGTCATTTCCTTAGAGATGCTGTCTATAACGCTACTATCTATTAAGTCAGTTCTGTTGTGCTACCTTATTCTTCTTTTCCTCTATTTTATGTGTCACATATTATAATTAAGATATACTTCAGTGGTTACAACTCAGGTGCCACGGGAGCCAAGGCAGGTGAAATAAATGGGTAAAATAGGCCTAGTACAAGCCAGGTGTGGTGGCTCACACTTGCAATCCCAGCACTTTGGGAGGCTGAGGCGGGCGGATCACCTGAAATTGGAGTTGGAGACCAGCCTGACCAACAGAGAGAAACCCTGTCTCTACTAAAAATACAAAATTAGCTGGACGTGGTGGTGCATACCTGAAATCCCAGCTACTCAGGAGGCTGAAACAGGAGAATCGCTTGAACCTGGGAGACGGAGGTTGCAGTGAGGTGAGATCGCACCACTGCACCCCAGCCTGGGCAACAAGAGCAAAACTCCATTTAAAAAAAAAAAAAAAATAGGCCTAGTATAATACCGCAAGAGGTGTGACTAGCACTGGAGATGACATTCTGGATCTAAAATTGGCAATAGCTATTTAGTCCCAGGCCATTTGGGAGTAGGGCCTATGTTGAAAGCATCCCAAGGTTTTCAAGACAAACAGGGAATCTGAATGTTAATGTAAATATTCCATATTTTTTCATGTTGTAAAACAATTAATATATTTGAACTAAAATGCAGACCAGACAAAACATGTCTGCTGAACATTTCTGTCCCTGGGAGTCCAATTTGTGATCTCTGATTTATTTATGCATTTGTTTGTTTGTTGCTTATCTTTCCTACTAAATTGTGAGCTCCATGTGGGTTAGGGAACATGTCTGTCTCGCTCATCACTGTATTTCTACTGCCTAAAGAATGTCTGGCACATAGTATGAACTCAACATTTGTTGCATGAATGGATGAATAGATTTAAATTTTATGTACATACTGTTTCATCGTGCTTTCTGATTGAAAGAATAACAAATGCAATTTAATATTGAATTATTAGAAAATAATAGTATAGGAGAGGCAGGCAACATTTAGTTCTATAATCCATTAAGGAACGTTCCAATCAAATATGAAAATATATTAACATGATAATGCTTATAAATATAATATCTTCAACATTAGTGATATTATGTCCTTTTAGTCAAAACAGTGGCATTAAAAAATTACAATGGTAATGCATGCAATAAAGTTATTCATATTGATTATATGTATTTTAAATTCCTATAAAGGTCTCAAAAATTTGACATTGCCGCAGGCATACTCTTCCATATCCAAACACAAATGGGAGAGTTTTGTTTGTCATTGTTACACAAGGTCTAACTAAAAGTAATAAGACTGGTTTTGATGACTTAGTTTTGATGACTTAGTTATTATCTGTCTCATTGCTTCATAGGTACATTATGTAACAGTAGACAATAGTAATTATTGTGAGTTCCTTATATGGAACTTTCTTGAAGTGAACTAAATTATTTTTGACCTCATGATAAATGTTTGCCCTTTTAAGGATGTTACTAATATTTATAGGACATTTGCTAGTCTTTTTTTGTTTGTTTGTTTTTGTTTTTTATTTTTTTATTTTACTTTAAGTTCTAGGGTACATGTGCACAATGTACAGGTTTGTTACATATGTATACACGTGCCATGTTGGTGTGCTGCACTCGTTAACTCGTCATTTACATTAGGTATATCTCCTAATGCTATTCCTTCCCCCTCCCTCCACCCCCCTACATTTGCTAGTCTTTTAAAAGTAAACTTGAGGCTGGGCGCAGTGTCTCACGCCTGTAATCCCAGCACTTTGGGAGGCCGAGGCAGGTGGATCACCTGAGGTCAGGAGTTCAAGACCAGTATGGCCAACATGGTGAAACCTCGTCTCTACTAAAAATACAAAAATCAGCTGGTTGTGGTTGCATGCGCCTGTAATCCCAGCTACTCGGGAGGCTGAGGCAGAAGAATTGCTTGAACCCGGGAGGTGGAGGTTGCAGTAAACCAAGATTGCACCATTGCACTCCAGCCTGGGTGACAAGAATGAAACTCTGTCTCAAAAAAAAAATAAAATAAAATAAAATAAGATTATAAACTGCGTTTTCTGATTAGTTCAAGACAGCACCAAAGTAATCCTTAACAATTGAAGAGGAATTGTTGCTTTCTAAGCACATATGCATTTATGTTCTCCTACTGTTTAATACATCATGACAGTCACAAATGTTTTGATTAAACATTGAAAATATAAAAACGTTCTCTCCCCGGGAGTGGTGGCTCACACCTGTAATCCCAGCACTTTGGGAGGCTGAGGCAGGTGGATCACCTGAGGTTAGGAGTTTGAAACCAGCCTGAACAACATGGAGAAACCCTGTGTCTACTAAAAATACAAAATTAGTGGGTGTGGTGGCGCATGCCTGTAATCCCAGCTACTCCAGAGGCCGAGGCAGGTGAATCGCTTTAACCTGGGAAGCAGAGGTTGCAGTGAGCTGAGATCATGCCATTGCACTCCAGTCTGGGCAACAAGAGCAAAACTCTGTCTCAAAAAATAAAAAATAAAAAATAAAAAAATTAAAATAAATTTTAAAAAAATCTCTTTTTTGATTTTAAATAAATTTTTTACCAGATTGAAGATATGTGGGGAGTGTGTGTGTGTGTGTGTGTGTGTGTGTATTAGATTGGGTTTTGAGGGGAAAAAATTTAAAGTATGGGAGAATCTAATTTTAAAAATAATATAATTGATGTTCTCAGAGGAATATGTATTTCTTACCTTTGTTTGAAATATGTTAAAAAAAAAAAAGTTTCATTGCCAATGATGTCAGTATTTCACCAATGGAAGCTGATTTTTGTTGCCTAAAAGCATGATTTTTATTAAATTCACTGTTTGATTCAGTTGTAATTCAAGACAAGTCTTTCCTTTTTCATTTTAATCTTTCTTAATGAGCATATCTAGTGCAGAAATGTTCATAAGTGTTTGAAAACTCATCCTATGTAAATAATGAAAATGATTTTAGGATAGTATGAAAAACAGAGATATATGAATCTAATTATTACTACTAGTAAACATATATGTTTTATCCAGTGTATTCATTGCCAAGCCCCTATGTATATTGTTAAAATGTATAGTTATTAAATTATATGTTATAAATATTAATAGGTGCTGTAATATGCCATGTCATTTATTGGTGTTTTCATTTTCCTCTAATATAGATGTTAATAATGAGTGCTTTCCGTACCAGCCAAAAATTTGAATACCCCAATTCCTGGATTCATTTGCTTTATTCCCTCCACTGTTAAATTAGATTGATTATAGTATTTGGTTATAATTATGCTGCAATTGTATTTTGAGAATTGAAACAGCAGTCTTAAATCCTTTTTGAAATTCGTCAGGGTTTAAATAAATAATTTAAGTATCACATCAGAAGCAGCCACATAGTTATCTTTCCCCCCACTTTTTTTTTTTTTTTTTTTTGAGACGGAGCCTCGCCCTGCCGCCCTGGCTGGAGTGCAGTGGCCTGATCTCAGCTCACTGTAACCTCTGCCTCCCAGGTTCAAGGGATTCTCCTGCCTCAGCCTCCCAAGTAGCTGGGACTACAGGTGCGTGCCACCAAGCCAGACTAACTGTTTTGTATTTTCAGTAGAGACGGGGTTTCACCATGTTAGCCAGCATGATCTCGAGCTCCTGACCTCATGATCTGCCCACCTCAGCCTCCCAAAGTGCTGTGATTACAGGCATAAGCCACCACACCCAGCCTTACCCTTCCCCCTTTCTAAGAGTCACATAACTCTACCCAAACCTAAAGTATCAATTTAATGCAAAGCTATTGGTTTTATGTTACTGTTATGGTGATTATTGAATAAGTTAGACTATGGTTGAAGTGGGGAGCTAGTTATTACAAAAGAGTAAGCCAAAAGAGTAATTTTGTCTCAGAAGCAGACATTTTGATTAGAATTAGCTTGATTCTCTATTTGGTATGTGAAGATTTGTAATTATATGTGTAAAATTTCTATTCTTTTAATTCTTTCACCAATGGATGCAAGTAAGGTGCTACAGTTAATTATAATGAATGTGGAAGCAATTTGAAATACTATTAAATGCTTTACAAACGTAAAATAGTCTTCTGATGGGAGCATGCACTAAGTGGTATTTACTGAAAGAGAAAATAAATAATTGATCTTACATCTCTAAACTCACTTTCCTTGGATTTCAGTCAGTATGGAATACACCTGCTGAAAAATAATGTTCTAGGAATTGTGCCTTGGACAGAAAAGAAAGACACAAATAACTAAAAAAAAAATAGGACTCTTGCCTGCAATCTCTCAGCATTAGTCTTTTTTTTTTTTTTTGGAGACTGAGTCTGCCTGTTGTTGCCCAGGCTGAAGTCCAATGACACGATCTCGGCTCACTGCAACCTCTGCCTCCCGGGTTCAAGTGATTCTCCTGCTTCAGCCTCCAGAGTAGCTGGGATTACAGGTGTGTGCCACCACGCCTGGCTAATTTTGGTAATTTTAGTAGAGACGGGGGTTTCACCATGTAGGCCAGGTTGGTCTCAAACTCCTGACTTCAGGTGATCTGTCTGCCTCGGCCTCCCAAAGTGCTGGGATTACAGGTGTCAGCCACCACACCTGGCCTCAGCATTAGTTTTATAAGATGATTCCTGTTTAATCAGAAAATAATTTTTTACAAATTAAAAAAAATAAATGAACAAAAGGCAGATTATGTGTCAAAATTGATTCATTTCACATTTTCTATTACAATAATTTCCTATTAATAGAAGAGGTTTTCTCAGGTGATATAATTAATATTATAGCAGCATAATATTCTGGACATACCTAGGAATGCAAACATATACAGGACATTATAATTATTATAATTTTCATTGTTGAAATGGATGTTTGCCATATATATCAAGAAAATAAATAAATAACAATTAAGAATTCTTATTTTTATTCAGTTTTCACCTGGAAATGAATACCATAAATAGTGTATATTTCTAATTAATTTCCTTAACATTGTAGGGGAGGGGAAAAAAGTCTTTTCCTAGGCCAGGCACGGTGGCTCACGCCTGTAATCCCAGCACTTTGGGAGGCCGAGGCAGGCGGATCATGAGGTCAGGAGTTCAAGACCAGCCTGACCAACATGGAGAAGCCCCTGTCTCTACTAAAAATACAAAATTAGCCAGGCATGGTGGTGCACGCCTGTAATACCAACTATTCACGAGGCTGAGGCAGGAGAATTGCTTGAACCTGGGAGGCAGAAGTTGCAGTGAGCCGAGATCGTGCCATTGCACTACAGCCTGGGCAACAGAGCGAGACTCCGTCCCCCACCTCCGTGCCAAAAAAGAGTCTCTTCCTTCTACCCATTTTAGGTTTATTGCCTGTGGCCCCATAAACCAAACTGACATAAGACTAACTAAAAACTGAAAAGCATACAAATTTATTTAGTATAAGTTTTATAGGACAAGGGAGACTTCATGAGGAAATGAAATCCAAAGAAGCGGTTAAGCCTGAGTGTTTTTAAACTAGGCTTGAGGAAAGGTGGAATGTTGTAGAAAAATGCTATATGACCAAAAAGGTATGCGCTAAGGCTAGTAAAATGAGGGAAACTTAGAAAGACCTGTTTTCTCAGATTCCTGTAGGCATCCCTCCCTTCTCTTAAGAGAGAGGATACTTCTTTCCTTCAGGGGTAGGGAGGGCTCACATAAGGATCTCATGAATAGCTCCATGGGAGACAGAAAGGTCTGAGAGTTCTTTCTGTACCTGTCTTTTTTCAAAGTTCTTCCACATAAAATATTCAATATGCCAAGATGCTGTATTTGGGGGTAGTGTGTTTTTAACCCCAACAACATCATTCTGTGAGATAGTTTGTACTTTTCGTGAGTAAATGGCTTATATGCGCACACGCACACGCACACGCACATGCACACACACACATTTCCAAATTTAGGATCTGATTTTATTGTAATATAAATCCCTATATATGTATGTTTAAAATATCAGCAATATATGCACATATAAAATACATGTAATATATGCACATATGTAACATCAGGACAATCAGAACAACATTTTTAATATTGGTAATCTATTATTCATTAAACAAAAATTTGGCACATATTGACAAAATTCTTGCTTTCTGTTATTATTGTAAAGCATTTCACTTATTTACTCCTATATTTTCATTTCTTACAAAAATTCCTTGACTAGCCATCTAGTCTAACCATGTTTTAGCATGTTTCTACTAGATCAGTAGAAAAACTGTTAGCAGTTTACATCTTTAAAAAAAATTTATTATTGAGGCCGGGCACGGTGGCTCATGCCTGTAATCATGCCAGCACTTTGGGAGGCCGAGGTGGGCAGATCACCTGAGGTCAGGAGTTCGAGACCAGCCTGACCAACATGGAGAAACCCCATCTCTACTAAAAATACAAAATTAGCCAGGCATGATGGCACATTCTGAGTAGTTCCAGCTACTCAGGAGGCTGAGGCAGGAGAATCGCTTGAACCAGGGAGGCAGAGGTTGTGGTGAGCCGAGATTGTGCCATTGCACTCCAGCCTGGGCAACAAGAGTGAAACTCTGTCTCAAAAAAAAAAAAAAAAAAATCTATTATTGAATCAGTATCAATATTATTAAAGAAAAAAGTAGGTCTTTAAATTTTTCTTGGGATACTTAATTTTATATCTGTATCACATTAATTGCAATTGCAAGCACATTGCTTTGTGATAAGAATATATAATTTTATGTTAATGGAACCCATTTTATATGATTATTGTTTGATATACTCGACATTCTTTTTATGGTACAGTAGGTACAACGACCTAGAAAAAGAATATTAACTCATTTTTTGCACAGATACCCTACTACTACTTGAAAAGAATATCCATGGAAATATGTAAAAAAAAAAACCCATATACACCTTCTCATTTTAGGTGTTTGTTGGAATGCAACTTCCTGTGAAAATTTCAGTTATGGGTACAAAACACATTACCACTTAACAGGATGCCCTCATAATATTAAAGACAATATACTCTGAATCATGATATATACTTGAATGTACATTACTGAATTATTGCCTGAACAAGATGGATTTCTAATGTCTTAGATTCCACCATTTAAAAAACGAATAGTTTTATTCTATTAACTGTGATTGATATTTATTGAGCTTAAAGATATGTACAGTGTTGATTTTACCTTCCAAGTCCTAAAGTGAGGACATTTTTTATGGGTTTGAATTTTTATGGATTTGAATTTTAAATCAAGAGATAGAAAAAGAAAATAAATGTTAAGGAGGATTTACTTACGTGAAACACAGCAAGAGTTATAAACTTTCCCTTGAGTCAGGTGAGGAAATAACTTAATTTTGTTCCCGGACCAAACTGAGGGTCGGGCTGCTATTTCTCGCAGCCCAATAAGGAGATGCAGATGAACTGGGAAGGAAGAGAGTTTTATTTCTGCAACCGGTTACAGGGAGGAGGCGTGGAATTTATCTCCACACCAACTCAAAATTACAAAGTTTTCCAGAGCTTATATACCTTCTAAGCTATATGTCTACCTGTAAATGTGCATCCATTTAAAGACATAAGTGATTAACTTCTTTTGATCTATAAGTAAGGTCTGAGTTCTGAAGATCTTCCTCTAGAGCCTCAGTACATTTACTTAATCCAAATGGGTCCAGGTGCTAGGGTAATTACCCTTATCTTGTCTCCTGCTAAATCACGGAGGTTTGGGGAGTTCCTGGAGGACTGGGGAGTTTCTTCAGACCCCCAATAAAATCCTAAATGGGCCTTGTTAAGAATTCCTTTGTTATTTTGTCATGTTTTAAGGCCTAGGAAAGGCCTAGGCAAAACTCTTGGTGGGCTTTTGTTACATTCCAGCCTTTGTATAAGGGCACTGGCTTTTTTAGCTTTTAATATTTAACTGGTGGCCAGGCATAGTGGCTCACGCCTATAATCCCAGCACTTTGGGAGGCCGAGGTGGGAGGATCACCTGAGGTCAGGCGTTCGAGACCAGCCTGGCCAACATGGTGAAACCCCGTCTCTACTAAAAATACAAAAAAAAAAAAAAAAAATTAGCTGGGCGTGGTGGTGGGGGCCTGTAATCCCAGCTACTCGGGAGGCTGAGGCAGGAGAATCACTTGAACCCGGGAGGCAGAGGTTGCAGTGAGCCAAGATTGCGCTATTGCACTGCAGCCTGGGCAACAAGAGCAAACCTCTGTCTCAAAAAAAAAAAAAAAAAAAAAAAAAAAAAAAAAAAAAAAGCCAGGCGCAGTGGCTCACGACGCTTTTAATCCCAGCACTTTGGTGAGGCCGAGGCAGTTGGATCAAGAGGTCAAGAGATCAAGACCATTCTGGCCAACATGGTGAAACCTCGTCTCTACTAAAAATACAAAAATTAGCTGGGCGTGGTAGTGTGTGCCCGTAGTCCCAGCTACTTGGGAGGCTGAGGCAGGAGAATCGCTTGAACCCGGGAGGCAGAGGTTGCAGCGAGCCGAGATCACGCCACTGCACTCCAGCCTGGGCGACAGAGTGAAACTCCGTCTCAAAAGAAAAAAAGAAATATATATATATGTATATATATATATATATATATGTATATATATATGTATATGTATATATATATGTATATATATATATATATATGTATATGTTTAACTTAACTGCTTAGTCAGTACTGAAACAGTTGTTATGGGAGCCTGCGTTATTGAGACCTGGCCTGCCACAGTATGACATGAGATAATTTTTCTTTAATTTTCAGCATCATTCACAGTTTGTTCTAATGTAAATAATTAACAGAAAAATAAACTCCATTGGATTAACAAGAATTCAAATCCTTTTCAATTAATAATTTTAAATTCTGACATTTCTTAATATTTAAAAATGCCATCAAGGAAGTACATGTTTAGAAGCAAAACAACACCAAATTCAATATTCATGACTAGTCTTTTTAAGAGTTTCTTAAGTGGAAAAGTGCATTTTGAAATTTTAAATTTCATGTAAAATAATTTTATAATTAATGACATTGCACATTCGTTTATATATGAAGAGAATACAATCACATCAAGTAGATTTTAGACTTTAAAAATGTGGTAATTAGCTTACAAAAATGTCTAATGCCATTATGCTAACTAGTTCTGACATCCTTTATGAATCGTGAATGATAATTTATATTTTGCTATTATCAAGTCTGAATGCTTTGTTCACATTAGTCTGGATAAAAATTCAGGTACTTTTAGGAAATTATTTTGAAACTTTTCACAGATACCTGGAATCATAAGCAACTGTGACTTTTTGCTGTTTATTTTTTTTCTTTGTTTCTTTGAGACGGAGTTTACTCTTGTTGCCCAGGCTGGAGTGCAATGGGACAACCTCAGCTCACCACAACCTCTACCTCCTGGCTTCAAGCGATTCTCCTGCCTCAGCCTCCCGAGTAGCTGGGATTGCAGGAGCCTGCTACCACGCCGGGCTAATTTTGTATTTTTAGTAGAGTTGGGGTTTCTCCATGTTGGTCAGGTTGGTCTTGAACTCCCCACCTCAGGTGATCACCCCGCCTCGGCCTCCCAAAGTGCTGTGATTACAGGCGTGAGCCACCGCTCCCTGCCAAATGTTTTATTGTTTATGAGAAACCACGTATCTTAGAATACAAGAACAATACAAATGGACTGTGCATAGAGATGGACAGACTATTTCAAGAGGGAAACAATACACATGTATTCTGGAAATGGACTGTAAACCAAAAAGTATCTGAGACAGGTCTCAATCAATTTAGAAAGTTTATCTTGCCAAGGTTAAGGATGCACCCATGACATAGCCTCAGGAGGTCCTATGCCATGTGCCCAAAGTGGTAGGGGTACAGCTTGGTTTTATACATTTTAGGGAGACATGAGCCTTCTATCAATATATGTAAGATATACATTGGATCAGTCCGGAAAGGTGGGACAACTTGAAGTGGGGAGGGGACTTTCAGGTCATAGGTAGATAAGAGACAAACAATTGCATTCTTTTGAGTTTCTGATTAGCATTTCACGGAATGCACAATTTACAGGAATAATCATTTATGCCTAAGTCTAGGTTAGTGAAACAATAGGGTAAAGGAAGCAATCAGATATGCATTTGTCTCACATGAGCAGAGGGATGACTTTGAGTTCTGCCTGTCCTTTGTCTACAAGGAATTTCCTTGTGGGCAAATTGTGAGGGAGGTATGTCGTTTTTTTTGTTTGTTTGTTTGTTTTTTTAATTTTTGTAACTATCATATTTAGGAATAGAATGGGAGGCAGGTTTGCCTGATGCAGTTCCCAGCTTGACATTTCTTTTTACCTTAGGGATTTTGGGGTCCCAAGATTTCTTTTCCTTTCACAGAATGATGTTTTCTTCTTAATGAAACTAATTACTTTGACAATACGTTTTACAAAACAAGCAAAAAAAAGACGAGAGTATGTTTAGTTGCCAGAAAGGTGTAACCGAAAAGGGGTCTCGATCCAGACCTCAAAAGAGGATTCTTGGATCTTGTGCAAGAAAAAATTTGGGGTGAGTCCATAGAGTAAAGTGAAAGCACGTTTATTAGGAGAGTAAAGGAATACAAAAATGGCTACTCCATAGACATTTTTATGGTAATTTCTTGATTATATGCTAAACAAATGGTGGGTTATTCATGTGTCCTCTTTTTCGACCATATAGGGTCACTTCCTGATGTTACCACGTATTTGTTAACTGTCATGGCACTGGGGGGAATGTAGCAGTGAGGACAACCAGAGGTCACTCTTGTTGCCTTCTTGGTTTTGGCGGGTTTTAGCTGACTTCTTTACTGCAGCCTGCTTTATCAGCAAGGTCTTTATGACCTGTATTTTGTGCCCACTTCCTATCTCATCCTGTGTCTTAGAATGCCTTAACCATCTGGGAATGCAGCCCAGTAGGACTCAGTCTCATTTTACCCAGCCCCTATTCAAGATGGAGTTGCTCAGGTTCAAATGCCTCTGACAACAGGAAGGACTATTTCTAGATATTACAAATAAATATATATATTTGGAAATAAAAATAAGGTCCTAGAGAGAGAGTGTTTTCATTGTATTAAAAATGGTAGTCTGTTGGATTTTAGTTCCCCATTTTACTATGAACTAATGAAACAGCAGCTTTAATGCATTTTATAGTGGAATCGTTTTATTCGTCTTCTCTGAGTTCAGAGTTTTTTATCCTACCTTCTGTTCCTCTCTTCAATATCTCTTAACTAAAAGGGCAAATAGCATCATTCATTGTCTCATCACATCCATTTTGTCACAATGATAGTGTAACGAAGTCCATTATTTCTAAGAAATGAATATCCCATCCAGGAATGAATAATTTCTTCAAGTATAGTAACAGCACTCTTTATTGTATAGGCCATGATGATTTTGTACAGTAAAAGATTCTATGTGGTAGGCATGATTTCTTTTTTTGGTGAGAGGAAGGAAGGTACTACATTTCATTAATATTCTGTTTTATTATTCCAATAAGAGTGATAAAATATGTCCCTCAAGTGCTGGTGCAAGAATAGGGTTTATGTTTCATTATAAATATTATTGTGAACACTGCCCAAGGAAATTATTATATGTCTTCTTGGAGAGAGTATAATATGCTAATAAAAATCAAGCTGTACAGTACCCTGTAGCTCTGACTTTAGTCCTGTGATCATTATGTACATAGATGTGTGTGCATGTTTGTGTGTGTGTGTGTGTGTGTGTGTGTGTATGGTGGAATACATGAAGTCAATTGGAGGATCTGCCTTTTGTGTATAATTGGAATGAAAATTATTATCTTGGTGAAGAAAATCTGAGCTGCCAATCTTTGATAATGAGAAAGTAATAGCAGAGTCGAGAACACACATACTGTAATTTAAAGATGACATATGCAAAAAAAATGTCATTATCTCTAAACAAAAATATTTTGGAGAGAGTGATAGATTGCTCACTTGTAATTATTCAGTCAATAATTGGTTTTCATTTGCAAATTACAAGCACATGGCAAGGAAGTCTTATGTGTTCAAATTAAGACACTGGAATACTAATTAGTCCCATATTAGCTGTTAAGCACTATTCATTAGCAAAGCAAAGAAATAAAAGTCAAACATCTTGTTGAAATTGTAGGTGACTTCTGAGCAAAGATTTGAAAGACTTGAGGGAGTAATCATGTGGCTATTTGGGGGAAGCTTATTCCAAACAGAAGGAGCAAAAATACAAAGGCACTAGATGTATGTGTGACGTAGACAGCAAGAATACCAGAATCTCTGGAGCCCGAGGAACAAAGGGAAGAGGAATAGGAGATAAGGTCAGAGAGGCAACAGGGGATCAGATCTTGTAGAGTAGGAAGTGCAAACTGCACTTCTTTTTAGGTACCTCAGGAGATAAGAATAATTTTTACATGTATTAAATGGTTAAAAAATAAGCCCAAGAAAAATGTTACTTCACATGTGAAAATCTTGTTGAATTCAAATTTTAGTTCCATAAATAAAGGTTTATTGGAATCCAGCCATGCTCATTCTTTTTCATACTGCCTGTGGCTGCTTTCATCCCACAGGGGTATAACTGAGTTGTTGCAAAAGACATGATGGGGCCCCATGAAGCCTGAAATATTTGCTATCTGTTCAATTACAGAAACTGCCTACTGACCCCTGTTGTAGATAGAGCCTTGCAGGGCATTTTAAGAGCTTTAACTTTTAATCAGAGTGTGACGGGAAACCCTTTGGTAGGTGCTGAGCAGAGGAATTATATGAGCTAGTTTTCTCTTTAAACAGGATCACTTTATCTACTATCTGCTATGATAATAAATTTGGGAAGGGGTAGGAAGTGGATATTTTCATTTTCCCTAAAAATTTTTACCTTCACAATAATAAATCAAATCTAATAGGCCTGCAGGTTTTCTCTACTCGTCATTTTTGTTTCTTTTTTCTTTTTTTTTTTTTCTTGAGACAGAATCTCATATTGTTGCCCAGGCTGGAGTGCAGTGGCTATTCAAAGGACCAATCATGGCTCACTGAAGCCTCAAACTCCTGGCCTTGAGGGATCCTTCCACCTTAGCCTTCCAAGTAGCTGGGACTACAGGCACACTCCACTATGCCCAGTTAGTCTTCTTATACTACAAGCAAATATATACATAGACAGCAGTGTATACATATACACACATACCATTAGTATGCATATTAAGTATTGTTATAAAATAAACTTGGTTGATTTCTGTTAACCTATAGAATAATGGAAACATAGTCTTTTTGTCCCTTAAAAAAGTCATCTTGGAGAGCTTACAATTTAAGTTGAAGAATGTCTGCTGTAGCAAAGCTCAACTTCAAGCAGCTTTAATGGTTGCCAAGTACTATGTTGTCCTTAGTTCTAGCAGGCAATGAAGCATATAGGTTTCTTCTAAGATGCCATTAAAATAAGAAAAACGTTTTCATATATGTTTTAGTATATAAGATCCTTTTCATGGCAACAGAGTCATTGGGATATAAATCACATACCATACAATTGACCCATTTAAAGTGCACAACTAAATGGCTTTTAGTATATTCACAGAATTTTGCAACTACCACTACAATTAATTTTAAAATATGTTCCTCAACCCCAAAAGAAACACCATACCTGTTAAAAGTCACCCCCAATCCTACCATTCTACCCACCTGTCAACCCAGCTCCTAGCAACCACTAATCTTTCTGTATCAAAAGATTTGCTTATTCGGGATATTTCATATAAATGAAATAATATAATATGTGATATTTTGTTACTGGCATCTTTCACTTAGCATAATGTTTTATTTATTTATTAATTTATTTTGAGTTCCAGGGCGCATGAGCAGAATGCACAGGTTTGTTACATAGGTAAACCTGTGCCATGGTGGTTTGCTGCACAGATCATCTCTTCACCTAGGTATTAAGCCTAGCATCCATTAGCTATTTTTTCTGATGCTCTCCGTCCCCCCTCCTCTCCACCCCCGACAGACCCTAGTGTGTATTGTTCCCCTCCCTGCACCCATGTGTTCTCACTGTTCAGCTCCCACTTATAAGTGAGAACATGCAGTGTTTGGTTTTGTTCCTGCATTAGTTTACTAAGGATAATGGCTTCCAGCTCCATCCATGTCCCTGCAAAGGACATGATCTCATTCCTTTTTATGGCTGCATAGTATTCCATGGTGGATATGTACCACATTTTCTTTATCCATTCTGTCATTGATGGGCAACTGGGTTGATTCCTTGTCTTTGCTATTGTGAATAGTGCTGAAAGCATAATGTTCTATAAAGGCTTTTTTTAATGGTATGTTATGAAAACTGGCATGTCCTCAGTTTTACTCTAGCATCAGAATCTATTTTCGTTATTATTTTCCATAAATTATGGCAGCATAAATATAGTATGCCATTAAAATTCTATAATTTAAAAATTAAAGAATAAAAATACTTTAAAATTAAATATAAACATAAAATTAAAATTAACAATTAATGGATATTTTTCTCAAGTATGCATTAATATGTGCATTGGAAATATAATATCAAATATAATATATTCTCTGAATATTGTAATAGCCTAGGGTATCAAAGCACATTGTAATTATTAGTTCTTATATTCGTCTTGACTTAAAAAGTGTCCAATGTATCAGAGCCCTAAAATTAAATGACCATTCAATATAGTCATAATGTACAATGGATAATCATTCATAGCATTATATTGAGATCCAAATATTTAGTTTCATATTATTCTACTGAATTAGTGTCTTTTATCAGTTTCATAATGTATTGAACAGTATTTGTATGCAGAAATAACTATATCAGAATTCCAATTTCCTAATACTTTTAGGAGTATACAAAAAGAAATCTCAAAGTGAGGCCTTCCATCAACATTATGTTTCTTACCACCAATTTTCCTAGGCTTCACATGTACACAACACATTTTAATTTTATTGGACAGAGGAGAATGTTCAATCTAGGATGCAAATGTTTTGGCTAATTGTTAATGGCAATAGCAGGGTGTATGCCCTTGAAATTGCATTTACATATAGATTATTTTCACCTCTCCTCTTTGATTGGTAATGTAAGTAAACATTTTAATTTTTCATGAAATTCAGTTCATTTTTCTTTTCCTTTAGTAAATACCTGGTATTATCTACAGATACCATTTGGAATGTTTTGAAAAAAAAAGTCAATTTTACTCTAAAACAAGTCTTTTTCTTTTTCTTTCTTTCTTTCTTTCTTTTTTTTTTTTTTTTTTTGTTGAGATGGAGTCTTGCTCTTGTCGCCCAGGCTGAAGTGCAGTGGCATGATCTCAGCTCACTGCAACCTCCGCCTCCCAGGTTCAAGCGATTCTCCTGCCTCAGCCTCCCAAGTAGCTGGGATTATAGGCACTCACCACATTTTTGTATTTTTAGTAGAGATGGGGTTTCGCCATGTTGACCAGGGTGGTCTCAAGCTCCTGACCTTGTGATCCACCTGCCTCAGCCTCCCAAAGTGCTGAGATTACAGGCATGAGCCACCCCTCTAGGGCTAAAACAAGTCTAATCAAAACGACAGTAGCTGCACGTAAATGTACTTCACTCAAATAAAATCTGTAGTTTTTCTTTATGAACTATTTATCCATGAGACAACAATAAGAAACTTTATCAGAAAGATAATCTATGCAGTGTTGCTGTGAGTCATTTCACAAATGTTTTGATAATTTGTTAATAGTTGATAATTAAACATAATATACAAACAAGGGTTTAGGTGGTATGATTCAGCAGAGAATGTGACATACATACCTTCATTACTAAAATGCTATTATAGTGCCTGGGATCTATCAATAAAGAAGGGACTATTTTTCTATATTCTGCCTAGTTATTCATATCTATATTAACATAGCACATTTATAGAATCACTTCTAAGAAAGGATTAAAATTACCTACTGTCCATGCGCTTCTATTCTTCCTTTTTTTTTTTTAATTTCAAGGAGAAAATGTGAAAGGAGGTAAGAATCAAGATTAACAGATATTGTAAAAAAATATTTTAAACTATAGACATAAATAAACAATATTTTCAAAATTTCTAAGTATATTTCAAAAGGAGAATTTTGAAATATACAGTATTAATATATATTGTGTATATTTTTAAAATGATGTGTGTCCCCACACATGTACATGTGAATGTGTATACATATATATGTATTTTATCATACATATGTATATATTAAAAAGGAAGAGGTATTTATGAGTTTGATAATTATTTCAAAAGCTATTTTATCAGTATTGATTTTTAGTTCAACATCTAAGTAGACTTGTAATTTAATCTCTCTTCAAAAACTTTTAATATTTACTAGGCTATGTTATAGAATATGGTTAACTTTATGAAAGGCTGTTTGTAAATGACTAGTAGCTATAGATTTTATTTAGGAGAGGCACAGTAAAAATATGTTTTCCAAAACTGTTGTGCAATTTACTTGAGAACAGTACATAAAATAAAACAGTATGTAAAAATAAAGTTATGATTGTGCTTTTGTCACTTTTTCCTAACTTTGAAGTAAAGGCCCTTTTACACCTTTTTCTTGTATTAAAAACTCACCAACGAAAATCACAAATCTTGAAAAATAAAAACATTTACATATAAATTTATAGAATAAATGGCCTTTTTTCAAAATTATTTGTCCTGTGAATTTCTACCTGCCAACCCACTTATAGCAAGGTTTATAAAAACAACCAGCTCTCTGCTGTAAAGACTCGTTGCTCAAAAAATGTTTATTTAGTGTTAGAATATAAGTGGCTTGTGTTTCATCCCCTCATTTAGCATCCAATCTAAGAGGTACCTGAGAGAATTTATGGAAATGAAGACATACTAATAAATATGTATTTTGCTTTCATAGTTACAGATAAAAGTTGACGAGTACATAAAAAAGCTATAAAAATATCTATATAAGTGTTATACATTTTTATTTATTATTAATCTATCATTAATTTTACATGGGGATGGGACAGGATCATTCTTCTCCAGTTGTATCTGTATACAATGCCACCCTCTATAGGATTGTTATTGATATTATTTAAAGAAGGGGAAACAGGTGGAGAGTAGAAAACTATACTTACTTTATTTTAGTCCATTTCTCTTAACATTCCTCTCACAGAAGTGAATTAATAGCAGTTTGATATCAATGGCATGCAGGATTTTATTGGTAATCAGTAATATTGAATGTTATATAGTTTTTAAAAATTCTATATTCCATTTTTCATTGTTTATGTTATTTACCTAAGTGTTAACATTGCAAATTAGTATTTCATTATTAGTATGGGCCCATACCTTGTCTGACTGCTGGGTCAGCAAGTGGAAATTGCAACATGATTAAGTACTTAGTTTATTTAGAAAACATAAAAAGCAAAACAAGAGAATACTGTTAAAAGATATCACATCTTAATTTAAGCCAGGCAAAGACAGAACTATTTTAAAAAGTGATGCTATAGATTACATTGAAGACGAAGCTCTTTCGCTTCCCCATTTTAAATTCCATATTGTTTGTGAGATACTTGACGAAACAGAAAGATCATTTAAACCTAATGTTTTTTTCCAATGCCATTTTCTTCCTCATCACAGTTATGTTGCTATTTTTATATTTATAATATAGACATGTGCTTTAGTTTAACCAATTAACGATGCTTATCCTATAGTTATTTCTAATGCAATATTTTTATAATACATCTATTATGTGTATAGTAGTCACAAATGGTAAGTTAAATGGCAGAAATAGGTATTCTAGGAAAACTTGATATAGTTAATTCCCAACAATAACTCTATACTTAAGAACATGTTTCTGATTCCCCGGAATTGAGATATTCTACTTGTTCTAAATCATTTGTGAGTTTTAAGATGGAACTATTCACCCCACAAAGTTCTGTATCATTGTTGAATATTGTTTCATATATGTTATTGTTTGAGTAAATCTTATCAGACAAGGCAGATGCAATTTATACCATTATAAGCTTAATGTACATTGTATAAATTAAGTTGGATTAATTTTAGAGATGATCTCGAATTTGTCAGATAGTTGTAAAACACCCTTACTCTAATATTGCCAGGTAGACTAGGTGCTTCAGGTAAACAAGTGCTAAATTATTATTATTATTTTTTTTTTTTTTTGAGATGGAGTTTTGCTCTTGTTGCCCAGGCTGGAGTGCAGTGGAGCAATCTCGGCTCACTGCAACCTCCGCCTACTGGGTTCAAGCAATTCTCCTGCCTCAGCCTCCCTAGTAGCTGGGATTACAGGCATGCGCCACCATATCCAGCTAATTTTGTATTTTTAGTAGAGACAGTTGGTCCATGCATGTGCGCGCGCGCACACACACACACACACACACACACACACATCTACACATACACATATCCATGTTGGTCAGGCTGGTCTTGAACTCCTGACCTCAGGTGATCTGCCGGCCTCAGCCTTCCAAAGTACTGGGATTACAGGCATGAGCCACTGTGCCCGGCCCAAGTGCTAAATTCTTTGTAGGTCAAATGCAGAGATAGGGATTGAATGGGTCTATTCTGATGACTGAGGTAACCAAAGTACAAATTGGTAAGCTAAATATTTAATTGTTCAGCTACTACTTGTGAATTACAGTCGCACATGCACACACACCCACACACCCATTCAAAGTATTTTATTCATTTTACAAATACGGGTAACTTGTATTTTTTTCTGCCGTGAACTACTGGATCATCTACTATCCTTCTTTACTGTGCCTTAATATTTTAGTTTGACAACCTTATATAAGATGGTTCTAATCTTTATTGAAAATTTTTATCCCTAAATTGTGTGTATATATATATACACACACACAGACACATACATACACGTTGATATATATACACCACACACACACAGATGCATGCACACACACACACACACATATCTACACATACACAAACCTATATATGCATTTAAAATGTTTACAATGTTCTCCAGCCAGGCATGGTGGCTCACGCCTGTAATCCTAGCATTTTGGGAGGCTAAGGTGGGAGGATTGCTTTGGCCCAGAAGTTTGAGACCAGCCTGGTTAACATAGTGAGACCTCTATCTGTTTAAAAAAAGAAAAAAAGTAGCTAGATGTGGTGGCACATGCCTGTAGTTTTTGGCTACTAGGGAGGCTGAGGTGGGAGGATCATTTAAGCCAGGGAGGTCAAGGCTGCAGTGAGCTGTGACTGTGAAACTGGACTCCAAACTGGGCAACAGAATGAGACCCTGTCCTAATGTCAGTCCTGAAGACCACGGGGAAAATGTCTCCAGGCCATGTCAGAGACTTTCACAGCAGCCCCTCCCATCACAGGCCCAGAGGCCCAGAAGGAAAAAGTGGTTTTGTGGGCCTGGTGCAGGGTTCCCATGCTGTGTGAAGCCTAGGGACTTGGTGCCCTGTGTCCCAACCTCTCTAGTCGTGGCTGAAAGGGGCCAACGTAGAGCTTGGGCTGTGGCTTCAGAGGGCGGAAGCCCCAAGCCTTGGCAGCTTCCACATGGTGTTGAGCCTGTGGGTGCACAGATGTCAAGAATTGTGGTTTGGGAATCTCTGCCTAGAATTTAGAAGAAGATGTATGGAAACACTTGGATGCCCAGGCAAAAGTATGCTGCAGGGGCGGGGTACTCATGGAGCACCTCTGCTAAGGCAGTGAAGAAGGGAAATGTGGGGTTGGAGCCCCCACACAGAATCCCTACCAGGGCACTGCCTAGTGGAGTTGTGAGAAGAGGGCCACTGTCCTCCAGACTCCAGAATGGTAGATCCACTGACTGCTTGCACCCTGCGCCTGGAAAAGCCGCAGACACTCAATGCCAGTCCGTGAAAGCAGCCACAAGGGAGGCTGTACCTTGCAAAGCCACAAGGGCAGAGCTGCCCAAGACCATGGGAACCCACCTCTTGCATCCGCGTGACCTGTATGTGAGACCTGGAGTCAAAGGAGGTCATTTTGGAGCTTTAAAATTTGACTGCCACATTGGATTTCGGATTTGCATGGGCCCTGTAGCCCCCTTTTTTTAGATGATTTCTTCCATTTGGAACAGCTGTATTTACCCAATACCTGAACCCCCATTGTATCTAGGAAGTAACCAGCTTTTGATTATATAGGCTCATAGGCAGAAGGAACTTGCCTTGGCTCAGATGAGACTTTGGACTGGTGGGCTTTTGGGTTAATGCTGAAATGAGTTAAAACTTTGGGGGACTGTTGGGAAGCCATGATTGGTTTTGAAATGTGAGGACATGCGATTTGGAGGGGCCAGGGGCGAAATGATATGGTTTGGCTGTGTCCCCAACCAAATCTCACCTTGAATTGTATCTCCCAGAATTCCCACGTGTTGTGCGAAGGACCCAGGGGGAGATCATTGAATCAAGTGGGCCAGTCTTTCCCGTGCTATTCTCATGATAGTGAATACGTCTTATGAGATCTGATAGGTGTGTCAGGGTTTTCCGCTTTTGCTTCTTCCTCATTTTCTTTTGCTACTGCCATGTAAGAAGTGTCTCTCGCCTCCTACCATGATTCTGAGGCTTCTCCAGCCATGTGTAACTGTAAGTCCAATTAAACCTCTTTTTCTTCCCAGTCTTGGTTATGTCTTTATCACCCAATACTTAACTTTCAGGTTTGCCTCCTCCTATACTAAAATCCTGTATGGCCAGCTATCCTGATGTCATTAGTAGTAGACTTTCATAGGTTTACATAATTTAGCTCTGAATTTTTCTTTATTCTTCTTCAAATTGATGCAGAGGGATGAAGGAATAACGTTCACAACCATTAGAAATTTATGCATTGTTAATTTTCTCATGTATGATGGCAAACTGATTTAATCATCTGACCTTTGAACTGGATCTACAAAATTGCTTGTTGCATATAGAAAATCTAAATGATATGGTGTCAGTAAATTATGTATAAATGTCCTGGGGGAGCTGCCAGTGTGACCATCCTCCTCAACAGTTATTCTTCTAAGTATACTGTTGATCCATCTATTTGGATTGCTTTGTCTATTAAAACCATTACAAAATTACCATAGTGTCTGTTTGGTTAATAGGCTTGTCTTTCAAATGAACATAACCTGTAGACAGTGAGATGATTGTGCAAATAAACAAGCTGCTTGTATTTAACTCAAGTATGTATACAATGGCTCTAATTTTGTATTCATTAAGTGTAAACAAAGGGACTCAGAAAAATGCGAGGACAGTCCCACCACAGATTAAAAAGTGTTGGGACTTTCAGAGAAGTATTGCTGTGGTCATTTGGTGAATATTTATGAGCCCAAATATCTACAGCTTTTATTTATTTTCTTTTTTATGATTTATTTTGCTTTGTATGGTCTGTGAGTAGAAAACTATAAGGCTTCATGGAAATCACCTGATAGTTCATGTAAAGGCAACATTTTCCAGAGGCTTAAGAAAGTAATAGGAAAGGCTCTGGTATTGAATAAAATTACTTTGCTTTATAAATGGTGCATGTAGAAGACAGCTAAGTTATATTATTTAGAAAAGATATAGCTGTGGCAAGAAAAATGTATGCATTTTATTAGGAAACAGCAGATTTAAATTTATTTTTAATATTGTCAGTTATAACAGTACCAAAACTCTTAGGGTTAATCAGTGCCAGATATCTTCAGGCACTCAAAATTTGCAAATAATTAAACAAATGGATGGATCTTATTCAATTAAACTATTAATATAAGAATACACTAATTTCCTTGAAAAATAGAAACATGAAAGGTTTAATTTTGTATAGTTCCAAAATTTGTCCACCCCATTGGGCTTTTGCACACTTCATGATGACTTAGTAATGTTTTTCATCTGTTCTATGATCTCTCCAAAGATGTTTCAGTTCCACTTTCTTAGAAACTATTTTTCAAATATAAGTGTCAAGCTGTTCCAAAGTTTATTTTTTCTTATTGTATAATATATCCATTTAGAGAATGCAAAAGCATTAAATTGTTGCACTGCCTCTGGCCTATTGTCTTGCAAATGTGCTTTGCACATAAGAGACAACCTCTGAATATTTTTCTTTCATCAAAATCATAAAACCTAGGAGACATTCTATAGAACTGCCATGAGTAATATTTTTTCATAAACATCATATATATATATAGGATATGTTAGCATACTCCTCTTTTCTTCCTGCCTACGAGAAAGAATGGGCCAATAAAAACTGAACTATTATTTTGAAATTTAATTTTGACAACTGAGAATCCCTAAAGACATTCCAGTCAGGTACAACAATCTTTCCTTTCTCCCTGGGAGTCTATTAAACTGGAAACTTGTGCTGTTGCATACAACTGCTTGCTTTTGGGGGGTGGGGGTGAGAGGGAGCCTACAGCCCTCCTGTATGTGCAACTTGTGCAATAGCTAAGAGTCAAAATGCCTTCCATGAGGGGCAATATGGAATACTGGTTTTTGTTCTACTAATTAAAGCCTTTATATTCTATAAGCACATCTTTCCGTTTTCTGCAAAACATCATTAAGCATTTGGGGGTTGACTTTTGGACTTTTGGGATATCTCTGAGCAAGTCAGTATTGCAGAATTACCCTGATATTTCTTCGTTTGATGCCTAAATACATTCTTAAAATTGTAAAAGACCTGTTTACTGTATCTATAAATGCTACATAGAATTTGAAGTTTGGATAATTTGGAAGTTAAACTATAACTTGAGTAATAAATACTCAAACATGGCCTAGTGCGGTGGCTTACACCTATAATCCCAGCACTTTGGGAGGCTGAGGTGGGCAGATCACCTGAGGTCAGGAGTTCGAGACCAGCCTGGCCAGCAAGGCGAAACCCCATCTCTAATAAAAATGCAAACATTAGCCAGGTGTGGTTGTCCATGCCTGTGATCCCAGCTACTCGGGAGGCTGAGGCAGGAGAATGGCTTGAACCCAGGAGGTGGAGGTTGCAGTGAGCCGAGATCGCACCACTGCACTCAAGCCTGGGCAACAGACTGAGACTCCATCTCAAAATAAAGAAATAAATACTCAGAGACTGAAGCTAATAGATGTAACAGAATTTGATATGAGGTTACATTTTTATTTATCTTAAATGGGAATGAAATAAATAGCTCAGTAGAGACATTATTATTATTATTATTATTAGTTTACTTTCAGAAAGAGGGAATTGAAATATGGAAAGTTTAATTCTTCAAACCGTTAGCAGAAACAAAATCAAGAATGGAACTATCTAACTATGTAAAATGTAATTATTTGTCTTTTTAAATGAAGATACAACCTGACAAATTTATTTCTCTTATTTGATCACAATCTCTAATTGCAACATTTTCTCGGTATATGCCCATTGTGTGATTTTGTCTTATGTCTTCAGATTTTTTAAAAAAACTTTTACACATTTTATTCCCAGGGATCTTTTCAGTGATCATTCTAATGTATGTTTGAAAGGAAAACGTCTTCACTGATTTGAGCCAGCAAAAGTTGGCAGTACAGTGACAAATAAACAAGGGTTAGAGATAAGCAAAAGGAGACTTTTATGTAAATCTTACTATTTTTAATCAATTGGCAAGATGTTCTCAGGTCTTTCTAATATCCAGCAGAGAACTCGATTGAAGTTTAACTTCTTTTGACAATAAATCAGTGATTAATCTGCTACACACCTATGTATTAAGAGGGGAATTACCAAGATTGCCAAAGGCAGGTAGACAACTTTGAAGCAGAACATTGGAAAACTGTCTGACCTGTGACCTTTTCTCTCCTACCATGTAGTCACACTCCTCGTTTACTGAACTTCTTTCTTTCTTTTCCTTTCTTTTCTTCCTTCCTTTCTTTCTTTCTTTCTTTCTTTCTTTCTTTCTTTCTTTCTTTTTTCTTTTCTCTCTTTCCTTTCTTTCTTTTTCTTTCTCTTTCCTTTTCTTTCTCTCTCTTTCTCCTTTCTTCCTTCCTTTCTCTCTTCCTTCCTTCCTTTCCTTCTTTCCCTTCCTTCCTTCCTTCCTTCCTTTCTTTCTTTCTTTCTTTCTTTTTCTTTCCTTCCTTCCTTCCTTTCCTTCTTTCCCTTCCTTCCTTCCTTCCTTTCTTTCTTTCTTTCTTTCTTTCTTTCTTTCTTTCTTTCTTTCTTTCTTTCTTTCTTTCTTTCTTTCTTTCTTTTTCCTTCCTTCCTTCCTTCCTTCCTTCCTTCCTTCCTTCCTTCTTTCTTTCTTTCTTTCTTTCTTTCTTTCTTTCTCCCTTTCCCTGTCTCTTTCCCTTCCTTTTTTTTTTTTTGAGACAGAGTCTTGCTCAGGCTGGAGGCTGGAGTGCAGTGGCACAATCTGGGCTCACTGCAACCTCTGCCTCCCAGGTTCAAGCGATTCTCCTGCCTCAGCCTCCGAGTAGCTGGGATTACAGGCATGCGCCGCCACACCCAGCTAATTTTTATATTTTTAGTAGAGACGGAGTTTCACCATGTTGGCCAGGCTGGTCTCCAACTCTTGAACTCAAGTGATCCACTGCGTCGGTCTCCCAAAGTGCTGGGATTATAGGCCTGAGCCACTGCGTCGGCCTGAATTTCTTTCTAATATAAAGGAATAGCACCTATGATAGAACACATTAGAACTGCCTACTTAGCACAGATAGTGTAGCGTAGGCACATCTAGGCTTACATAAAATAAATTATTATTTTGTTTAAAATACTTGCTCCTCAGCCACTTAACTTTTTTTTTCTTTATAAGATCATCTGCAAGCATAATTTCAGGAACTGGCCTTGGAAACATTGACATACATGTATACTTATATGTTTATATATATATGTGTGTGTATATATATATATATACACACACACACACATAAATGTTTTTTGGAGTGAAAATCTGGATCTTAGAAAGTTAATGCTATATCTGGCTTTGTGTGTATTGCATACTCCCTTTGTTTAGATAATTAATGCTAAAGAATTTGAAGAATCATTTCCAATAATTTCCACTGCAATACATTGACCTGGGAGTCAGAGGTACAGCCATAGATGCTTTCCCTCACATTATATTTTGTACAATTAGTAGTTTTGATGTTGCTGAAAACATTATCGAATGTATAAAATATACTTCAACTTTGCTATCCTCATCTATCAGAAACGAGTGTATCTGTATTGTAAAACATCAACCCTATAACTGTGGGTCTGAAAGTTGCCTGACAAAGCAGATGTGTACTTTTCCCAATTCCAGTTGTGGATAACTGAGCTCAGTAATTATAATTATGAAGGCTAGGCCTGGCATAGCAACTGAATCAGATTTAGAGTGCTAATGTCTATTTTTTGTTCCAATGTAGAGAATAAATGTGCATATTTAGATTGACTTACTGTGTCTATATCAGAGAAAGATTAGCATTATAAGAACTATATACTTTTCATAAAATTCAGACAATCCATTTGTGACAAGGATATAGGCTGGAATGAGAGATCTCTCTCTTTCTCTCACTCTCTCTCTCTCTCTCTCTCTCTCTGTGTGTGTGTGTGTGTATATATGTGTGTGTGTATATATATATATATGTATGTATATATATGGCATAATCACAAACCAAATTCCAAGGCATAATCATAAACACAATTTCAGGAATTTTTAATAAGATTTGTCTATTGAAGTGTAATTGAAGCACAATAAACTGTACTTATTTTAAAATTCAAAATGTACAATTTGCTCAGTTTTGACATACGTGAAAACATTGCCATAGTCATGATAATTAACATATTTGTCATAACTAAAAGTTTCCTCATACCCTTTTGCAATACTTTCCTTCTTGCCTTCACCCTGACCCAAACAACCACTAATATGTGTACTGTAAGTATATATTAGTTTGCTTTTTCAAGAAGTTTATATCAATGGAATCACACAATATGTGATTTTTTTTGGTACGTGGCTTCTTTTACTTACTGTGAGGATTTCAAGGTTTATCCATGTGGATAAAGTAGCATGTACTTTATTCCTTTTTATTGCTAAATAATATTCAACTTTATGGATACAACACAGTTCATTTATTCATTCATCCATTGATAGGCATTTGTGTTGTTTCCTTTTTGTCTATTATGGATAATTGATGCTATAAACATTTGTGTGAAAGTTTTTGTGTGGATGTGTCTTTTCTTTTCTCTTGGAAAAATATGTAAGAGTGGAGTAGCTGGATCATATGGTTGGTGTACATGTAGCTATTTGAGAAAGTGCCAAAGTTTTTTTCATAGTGGTTATGAAATTTTGCATTCTCACCATCAGTGTGTGAGTGCCAGTTACTTCACATCCTTGCCAACATTTGGTATGGTTGTCTTTTTAGTTGTAGCCATTCTAAATGAGTTTGTAAAAGTATGACATTATTGCTTAAATTTACATTTTCTTAATGACTGCAGATGTCAAGCATCTCATGGTTATTTTTCATCCATTTTTTTTTTTGGTAAAATGTCTGTTTACTTTTTTCCCATTTCCTCATTGAGTTATTTGTCTTGCTATTAAGTCAAACAAGTTATTGATATATTCTGGATACATTTATGTTCATTCTTAATGAACACTTTTGATTCCTGTAGCTTTATAATAGGTCTCAGGTTTAAAGAGTTTATGAATTCCATGGATTTTCATAGGTCCTTTGCATTTCAATAAAAATTTTAAGATTGGATTTTCAGTTTCTATAAAAACACCATCTTCCTGATAGTGAGCCTTCCAATCCATGAACATAGTATATATATTCCCATGTATTTAGATATTACTTAATTTCCCTTGGCAATATTTTATAGTTTTTCATGTAGAAATCTTAAACAACTTTATTAGATTTATTCCAAAAGGATTTTATGTTGTTTGGCATTAATATGAGTGGTTTTGTTAAATTTCACGTTCCAATTATTTGGTGCTAATATGAAAGAATACAACCTTATATCACCTAATCTCACTAAATTTATTTATTAATTATTGTAATTGTTTTGTGGTTCCCCTGTGATGTTTCATGTAAACCGTTATACTTCTGTTTTGTTTGTTTGCTTGTATTTTGCTTTATTCAAATTGCTATCCCTTTTAGGGAAATGTTAAACAAAGTGACAAGAACCAGTATCCATGCTTTCTTCCTAGTATCAAGGGGAAAGCATTTAGTCTTTCAAGTATGAATTTAGCTCTAAATTTTTTTTATATTCTTTTTCAGTTTGAGGAATTTACCCGTCATTTCTAGTTTGCTTAGAATTTTTATTTTTATTTTATTTATCTATTTATTTATTTATTTTTGAGATGGAGTCTCGCCCTGTCACCCAGGCTGGAGTGCAGTGGCGCCATCTCGGCTCACTGCAAGCCCCGCCTCCCAGGTTCAAGCCATTCTCCTGCCTCAGCCTTCCGAGTAGCTGGGACTACAGGGGCCCGCCACCGTGCCTGGCTAATTTTTTGTATTTTCAGTAGAGACAGGGTTTCACCGTGTTAGCCAGGATGGTCTCGATCTCCTGACCTCGTGATCCACCTGCCTCAGCCTCCCAAAGTGCTGGGATTACAGGCTTGAGCCACCACGCCCGGCCTAGAATTTTTAAAAATACGAATAGATGAATTTTGTCAAACGTATTTTCTACATTTATTGAAATGTTTTTTCTCTATTTTGTTAATTGGCATATTATATTTATTTTCTAATATAATTTGTTTTTGAAATTAAAATTATAATCTATCTTAATTCTACGGTTCTTTTTCAGAGATAAACAAAAAAACTTCACATTAGTATTTATTATTATCGTTACATATATTTTATTTCATCATGTTTGTAGATATGACCAAATACATTTTTTCATCATTATGAACAAAGCTTAGAGTTCATTTACATATTAAATCACAATTATTTTATTAATTCATTTAATTTCTATGTAATTATTTCTCTGTAAACCTAAGTTTAAATATGGCTGAAACTACATAATTTTAAACATTGTAGATCTAAAATTTTAGGAGGCAAATGTCAAAACAATTAAGGATAAGATACTATAGTAACTAGAGGAAGAAATAAGAAAACCATATAAGTAAGGAAAACAATATATTTGTGTAGATGTACTCTAAAACCACACCTATGTTTGGCACTTATATCTTTTGACTTCAGTATTCCAATTTTTGAATGGGCCTTCTGCCATACTAACAGATGTGTCGATTGTGTAGACCTGCCAAGGAAACAGAATATACATAAAAACAGTAAAAAAAGAAATTGTGCTGGCAATTAAGAAGACTTCATTGTGCGCAAGTGCCTTGCCAAACATCAATGTATGCATATTTATATTTGAGTAGTTCCATCCAACACTGAAGTCAGAAAACAAAATCATTTTATGCCAGTAACTGAATGAAATATTACTTTGTTTTGGTTTATTTTTAGTATTAGTCAGATAGTCCAGTCAATATAATTTTATGTACTTTTCAATTATAATGCAAAGTAGTAGACTCTTTCCCCAAATTAAAAAAAATATTAAATCAAATGTATATTTTCTTGTATAGCTTCAGTTATCCTTCATGAACACTTCTTGATTACTTGGAGCACTAAAATTGTTCATATGGTGAAAGGAAGGTCATTAAGACAATGTACTTTAGAATTGCACTTTAAACTTTTGTTTCAAGAGTCTTTGCTTATTTAAAATAAATGAATATTTTTGTGTTTATGCATATATGCATTCACAAAATACTGATAGAATAATCCTGTGAAGTTCACTTCAGAATGACAAAGTTTTCTTCATTAGCAAAAAACTAAAGTATTAAACATTTAAAATTGTAATTTAAAAATTTAAAAAATATTTTCTATATTTTTATTTTATGTATGTATGTATGTATGTATGTATGTATGTATGTATGTATGTATTTATTTATTTATTTTTTGAGACGGAGTCTAGCTCTGTCGCCCAGGCTGGAGTGCAGTGGCGTGATCTCGGCTCAGTGCAACCTCCGCCTCCCAGGTTCAAGTGCTTCTCCTGCCTCAGTCTCCCAAGTAGCTGGTATTACAGGCACCTGGCTAATTTTTGTATTTTTAGTAGAGATGGAGTTTTGCCATGTTGGCCAGGCTGGTCTTGAACTCCCGACCTCAGGTGATCCGCCCACCTTGGCCTCCCAAAGTGCTGAGATTACAGGCGTGAGCCACCGCACCTGGCCTCTTTCGATATTAACTGCTGATAAGACTTAGTTAAATTGTTTTGAAAACAGGTTTTCCCAAGGGGGTATACTTAGCACATTAAAACATGTATCACAAAATCTGACAATCGACCTACAGGAGGATGCATCTGTATAGTTCCTTTGTCTGAAATTTTAACTTTAATTTTTATGAAACAAATCTAACTGGAATAAAATGCCAATCCTATTACAGATTGCAATGCCATCTTATATTACATATAAATAAATAAATATACACACACACACACACACACACACAGAAGACAATCCTATAAAACAGAGCCGCACTGAGTTTTGTATTTAGCCTAGAAATAATAATTAATTGCTTGTTAGTGATTTATAGTGGTTTACTTTTTATCAAACTGATAAACTAAATAATGTAATAGCAAGTTTAAGCACAATTAGGTGTTTATTGAAATGTGAAGTGGTTTCAGATATTTCTCCTGTAGGTGATTATTTTACTTAGAGAATGGAGGCATTTTTTATGTTGCCTGTATGTTTACTAATCTTTCAAAATTGTATATCATTTTTATTATCTAAAGGATTTCTCTCATTCACTACATCTGGTAGGTGAAGAAGAAGCAGGCATTCATTGGGATGGTGAGCATGGCAGGAGCAACAAGAATTCTATCATCAAGGAAATTTAAAGTTTTGGTAAAGACTGTATATTTTAATGCCAATGCTAATTCTAAGGAAACAACAGATGTAGCAGCAGTTACGATAAAAACCAAGTGCTCTTGTCTGTTAAGCTGTTTTATTGCAAGTTTCTGTAATATTTTTGATGAAAACAAATAACAAAGGAGGATAAAAGCACCATTAGCAACAAGCAACAACAAAAAGATAGTTATTACTGGTAGAAGAACGCCAAAAGTTAATGCCTGTGAAAAATTTTTTAAATATGAGCCATAAATGAGCAGGCTAAATACAAATATAGCACAAAAATAGGTTGAGACAACTTTGTAAGAGCTGAACTGTAAATTGAATTCAATTTTGATGAATGAACTCTGCTGTGATGAGGTGTGTATATGTAAGTGGAAATCAGTCTACCTATCTATTGATTGGAAAGGAGGGCATTTGACCATCAGTTTTCTCAGATTTCATTCCGTTATTGATCAAGTTTATTATTTAATGACATTATATAATGTAAGTGATTTAAGATACTTCAGGATAAGATATTTAAGGCATTTCAATATGGAATCTCTTCTATGCCATTAAGAAAAAATCACTTTGGTACATGACACATGAGTTAAATTCTCAGTAGTTACTCTTTGTCTTAATCTAATTTTGTCAGTTTTTCTGGGACAATCTGGTTTATGCACATTATTATTGATACGGAAGTGGGGCAGGGAAACTCTGCGTAGAGAAAAGCATGTCCCTGGCTAGGGCTCCACCCCAAAGGACCTAGGTGAGGACAGGCACTCCTGCTTTCCCGCCCAAATGTTGCATTTTCCAAGACCACCCTGGCCCACCATGCCTCCATCCTGGGCCTATAAAAACCCGAGACCCTAGTGGGCAGACACACAAGCGGCTGGACAGCGTGAGGAACACATCGGCGGAAGAAGACACAAGCGGCTGGTCATCCAGGGCAGATGGCAAAATAGCTCGCCCGGCAGGCCATTGACTAGTGGAACAACACAGAGTCTGGCCAGAGCCGTCGGAGAAAAGTCCGGTCACCGAGCGGCCCGATTCCGGGGGAAAACTATCTCCCTTCTGGCTCCCCCATCTGCCCAGACCTACTCCTACTCAATAAAATCTTGCACTCATTCTCCAAGCCCACGTGTGATCCGATTCTTCCCGTACACCAAGGCAGGAAACCCCGGGATACAGAAATCCCTCTGTCCTTATGATAAGGAAGGGGGTCTGCGTTGGTTAACACAAGCCACCTATAGACAGCAAAACAAAGAGCACCCTGTAACACATCCCACCGGGGCTTCAGCTGTAAATATGCACCGCTAAACACTGCCGTGGTGTCAGAGCCCCACAGCCTGCCCGTCTGTATGCTCTCCTTTGAGCATACAGTGGGGCACTGAAGAAGAGAGCCACACCCCCATCGCATGCCCTGCGAGAGGGACAGGGGAACCTTGCCTGTTTAATTATGATATGATATATTAATACTGACATTCACTCTCAAGACCGTACTGGTTGGATTATCAATCCTATAGTCTCTTTATCTATTATTTTCTCATTAAAAAATGCTGCTGGAGATGACCCAAAGATTTACCATGTGGAGAAAGCTTAACTCTAGTTTTAAATTGAGGTTAAATTATTCCATTCCTATTCCAAATTAACATTTTACTATCAAACCTGGTGCTTTAACAGTTTTCTTTATCTCAGGAAATGTTAATACCATCTTTCCACTTCCTCAGGCCAAAAACCTTGGCATTGTCTTTTTTCTTTCACACACTTTGGCTCTTTTTTCAAAATATACCTGGAAACCTCTCGCTCCTTATCACCTCTACCACTACCACTCTGGTCCAAGCCTCCATTGACTGTCACCTCAGTTACTTCAATAGCTTTTTTTTTTTTTTTTTTTTTTTTCCTGAGACAGAGTCTCGCTCTGTCGCCCAGCCTGGAGTGCAGTGGCGCCATCTCGGCTCACTGCAAGCTCCACCTCTCGGGTTCACGCCCTTCTCCTGCCTCAGCCTCCGGAGTAGCTGGGACTACAGGGGCCCGCCACCGCGCCCGGCTAATTTTTTTTGTATTTTTAGTAGAGACGGGGTTTCACCATATTTGCCAGGATGGTCTCGATCTCCTGACCTCGTGATCCGCTTGCCTCGGCTTCCCAAAGCCCTGGGATTACAGGCGTGAGCCACCGAGCCCGGCAGTTACTTCAGTAGCTTCTTAACTGCTCTCTCTGCTTCCTCTCCCGTCCCCTCCATGTCAAGTCTCAACAAAGCAGCCAGAGAGACTCAGATATAACTGAGATCATGCTATTTCTCCGTTCAGAACACACTATGGTTTGTCAATTTACACAGTAAAGAGCAAAGACTTCAAGATCGTTGAGGGCCTCCCCTGTGACATTTTTTATGACAAAATAATAAATAAAGAGACCATAGGATTGATTATCCAACAAGTACACTCTTAAGAGGGCACAACCTGCACCCGCTCCAGTTACCTCTCAGACTTCATCTCCTATCCGCCCCCCCATTCCTTGTTCACATAGTCTCCTTGTTGTCTCTTGAAGCTGCTGGGTGTGCTCTTTCCTTAGGATCTTTGCACTGACTGATTCTATTGCATAAATATCACATGATATTTATACGATGCAAGTTCTTACCCCTTCAAATCTTTGCTTAAATGTCACCTTTTCAGTGAGGTCTTCCCTGACCGTCCTGTTAAAAATTGCAACTATACTCCCACACACATCAAATGCACTCCATATAATCTTTCCCTGATCTTTTTCAGAGCACTAGTACCATCTAACATACCATAGTATTTAATAATTTCTAACGTATGCATTTCATCCTTTCTTCCTAACTAAAATCACTGTGAATGCAGACATTTCTGTATTGCCAGCACCTAGTAGAATGTATGGCCTAGAATAGGCACTCAATAAATGAATGAAGGAATGTAACTTATACCCCGTTCTTACAATTCTAGCATATTAGAGTTGTTAATCCATTCCAGTAGGAATTTCCATTCCTTGCATAGTTTAATTTGATATACTACCATTTATATACTCATTATGTGTTTGTATGTATGTGGAATTGGATGGTTAAAATCACATACAAAGAATCACTTCACACGTGTGAAGTAAACATGCTAACATGCTTTCTGCATAAGAAGTCAAAAGACAGCAGTGGTACTTATATTTAACTTCAGCTTGGATAAGCTTAAAACGACCTTCATAAGAGAGATTTGAATACACTTTAACTAAGGCAGGAGGTTTATGTAGCAAATCCATTACCACTTCCAAAAATCTGTCCCTGGAATACAAAATCCAATGGTTGCGGTCTGTTCTATGCCAAAACATAGGTTTAATTATTCAGAAGACCATTAGAGCACATTTTCTAAACCTAAAATTCGGCAAAGAAATTCTATCTAATGTCCCTTAGCTTTGGGAGCTATACACTAAGGCATCTTCCTGGTGTGCAGGATTGTGGCTTTTATGAACGTCTGAATTAAAACAGTTACCTATTAGAGAGCTAAAGGCCCCTGTTCTGCCTCACCTTAACTTTATCAAATTGTTTATCTTCTACTATTCCTCTGGTGATCATGGTAAATAATGATTTAATTGCACTGTTAACAACTTACAAATAGTGTATAATTTTTTTATTCCTACTGAGTATTAATGTAATTTGCCTTTCATTATTAGGAAAGGGTTAAAGTGAAGGATATAGATCCATTTAATGGCAAAAGGATAGAACGATTAGTCAATAAACCAAATAAAAATGACAGAGTGTAAAAGAAAGTTGTTTCAGTACATGGTGAGTCACTATAAGAAAACGATTTTAAAGCACGTCAGGGAAATATTTAAAATGAGGTGGTTCTGGCAATACGTTAGTTTTTGTTAAAATGACATTTACATTAAAATGAATAAATAATTGTTATAGACTCAAATACACACTTTTCATTTGCTCTCGGTCACATTATCAGTATCCACTTAGAAGCTCAGTTTGAATTTAAACACATTTTATTCTTACAAGGTTTGTGCTTTCATTATCAAGATTTTCTTTTAGAATTTTTTGTGTTAATTTTTATAATATCAATAAACATTTAAATAATATCAATTATAGTATTTAATCATGTTCTTATGACATGGAAAAAATCAATTATATGTTGAAAATCAGTTTATGAAAGTCTTTCTGTTCTGGACTATAAAATATCAAGAAGGCCGGTCGCGGTAGCTCATGCCTGTAATCCCAGCACTTTGGGGGGCTGAGGTGGGTGGATCACCTGAGTTCAGGAGTTCGAGACCAGCCTGACCAACATGGTGAAACCCTGTCTCTACTGAAATTACAAAAAATCACCTGGGCGTGGTGGCAGGCACCTGTAATCCCAGCTACTGGGGAGGCTGAGGCAGGAGAATTGCCTGAACTGGGGAGGCAGAGGTTGCCGTAAGCTGAGATTGTGCCACTGCACTCCAGCCTGGGCAACAAGAGCAAGACTCTTTCTAAAAACAAAACAAAACAAAAATCAAGAATACTTTTAATAGTTAATAATTTTAAAATGCTAAATACTTGCACTTCATAGGAAATGTATTTATTAGATAGAGCCTGGCCAACATGGAGAAACCCCATCTCTACTAAAAATACAAAAATTAGCTGGGTGTGGTGGTGCATGCCTGTAATCACAGCCACTCAGGAGGCTGAGGCACAAGAATTGCTTGAACCTGGGAGGCAGAGGTTACAGTAAGTTTAGATCATGCCACTGCACTCCAGCCTGGGTGACAGAGCAAGAGACTGTCTCAAAAAAAAGAAAAAAAGAAAAGGAAATTTATTTAATAGATAGTTGACTCCTTACTTTATTTGTCTTTGTATTTATTAACTTTGATTTTAAGATTGCCTGAATGGTAATGTTTTCTAGTCTTTTTTCAGAATATATATATATTTTTGAAACAGAGTCTAGCTCTGTCACCAGGCTGGAGTTCAGTGGCGGGATCTCGGCTCACTGAAACCTCCGCCTCCTAGGTTTAAGCGATTCTCCTGCCTCAGCCTCCCGAGTAGCTGAGGTTACAGGCACGCGCTGCCATGCCCAGCTAATTTTTGTATTTTTAGTAGAGACAGGGTTTCACCTTGTTGGCCAGGATGGTCTCGATCTCCTGACCTCGTGATCTGCTCACCTCGGCCTCCCAAAGTGCTGGGATTACAGGCGTGAGCCACTGGGCCCAGCCTAGAATAGATAACTTTTATATTTAGCAAACTACACTTGCTTTATTTGTCTGCATTGTTCTGCACTGACTCTAAGATTTTAAGCACAAAAATAAGTACATATTACAAAAATATCTTAATATCTCATGGATTTTGTAGCTACTATCAAATTGGCATGCTAATAATTAAATTCTTGCTCTTCTAATATAAATATTAAAAAGTAAAGAAACTTTAGCAGGAATATAAGCTAAATATTATAGAAGAACATATGAAATAATAATGAGAAATAAAGTTTGGAAGTCCTAGTTAATGGAATCATATGTAGGTAGAATCTCTCGGTCTGCTGTATTTTCAGATGTGGATGTAGGAGGTTTGCTGTGTTCTCTCTCATGTGACCCACTGCAAAAATTCAACATGTATTGAATATAAAAAAATATTCTACATAGTGGAGAAGAATTCACATCTATGAATTCTTTGTATAGTGTAAACTCATTATATTATCATTTTAAAAATATATTATCATTTTTTAAAGATTCCATAGTCTGAGTAACGGCCAGTATAGTTTAGTATTACAAAACTCCTGAGAAAGGGTTATGATACT